>NC_000003.12:164311634-164463149 GCF_000001405.40 Homo sapiens
AATCAGACATTCAAAGAATTGGTACCAATATTATTGACACTATTTCACAAGATAGAGAAAGAGGGAATCCTCCCTAAATCATTCTATGAATCCGGTATTATCCTACTACCAAAACCAGGGAAGGACATAACAAAGAAAGAAAATTACAGACCAATATTCCTGATGGACACAGATGCAAAAATTCTCAACAAAATACTAGTGAACCAAATCCAACAGCATTTTAAAAAGATAATCCACCATGATCAAGTGGGTTTCATATGAGGGATGAAGAGATGGTTTAACATCCACAAGTTAATAAATGTGATAGACCACATAAACAAAATTAAAAACAAAAACCACATGATCATCTCAATACATGCAGAAAAAGCATTTGACAAAATTAAGCATCACTTTATAATTAAAACCCTCACCAAAATCATCAAAGAAGGGAGATACCTCAAGGTAATAAAAGCCATCTATAACAAACCCACAGCCAACATTATACTGAATGTGGAAATGTTGAAAGCACCCCTGCTTAGAACTGGAACAAGACAAAGGTGCCTACTTTCACCACTTCTATTTAACATAGTACTGGAAGTCATAACTGGAGCAAATAGAGAAGATAAATAAATAAAGGACATCCAAATTGGTAAAGAGGAAGTCAACTGTCCCTGTTAGCTGATGATATGATTGTATACATAGAAAACTCTAAAGACTCATCCAAAAAGCTGCTAGAACTTGTAAATGAATTCAGCAAATTTCAGGATACAAAATTAATGTACAAATCAGTAGCTCTGCTATACACCAATAGCGACCAAGCTGAGAATCAAATCAAGAACTCAATCCCTTTTACAATAGCTGCAAAAAAATAGTAATAATAACAAAATAAAATACTTAGGAATATACCTAACCAAGGAGGTTAAAGACCTCTGCAAAGAAAACTAAACAACACTGATGAAAGAAATCACAGATGACAAAAAGAAATGGAAACACATTCCATGCTCATGAAAGGGTAGAATCAGTATTGTGAAAATGATCATACTGCGAAAAGCCATCTACAAACTCAGTGCAAGTCCTATCAAAATACCACCAATATTCTTCACATAACTAGAAAAAAAAATCCTAAAATTCATATAAAACCAAAAAGGGAGCTCACATAGCCAAAGCAAGACTAAGCAAACAGAACAAATTTGGTGACATCACATTACCCAACTTCAAACTATAATGCCATAGTCACCAAAACAGTATTGTACTGGGGTAAAAATAGGCACATAGACCAATGGAACAGAATAGAGAACCCAGAAATAAAGTCAAATACTTACAGCCAACTGATCAAACAAATCAAACAGAAACATGAAGTGGGGAAAGGACACTCTATTCAACAAATGGTGCTGGGATAATTGGCAAGCCACACATAGGAGAATAAAACTAGATCCTCATATTTCACCTTATACAAAAATCAACTAAAAATACATCAAAAACTAATCTAAGACCTGAAACCATAAAAATTATAGACGATAACATCAGAAAAACCCTTCTAGACACTGACTTAGATTTCATGACCAAGAATCCAAAAGCAAATGCAACAAAAACAAAGAGAAATAGATGGAACTTAAAACAAAAAGGCTTCTTCACAGCCAAAGAAATAACCAACAGAGTTAACAAACAACCCACATAGTGGGAGAAAATCTTCACAACCTATATATCTGACAAAGACTAATATCAAGAACCTACGAAGAACTCAAACAAATCAGCAAGAAAAAAACAAACAAACAAAAAAAAAAACAATCCCATCAAAAAGGTGGGTAAGGACATGAATAGGCAATTCTCAAAAGATGTGCAAATGGCCAATGAACATATGGAAAAATGCTCAACATCATTAATGATCAAGGAAATGCTAATCAAATTCACTATGTGATATCACTCTATTTCTGCAAGAATGGCCAAAATTAAATCAAAAAATATTAGATGTTGCCATGGATGTGGTGAAAAGGGAACACTTTTACACTGCTGGTGAGAATGCAAACTAGTACACCCACTATGAAAAACAGTGTGGAGATTCCTTAAGAAACTAAAAATAGATCTATCATTTGATTCAGCAATCCCACTACTGGGTATCTACCCAGAGGAAAAGAAGATATTATATGAAAAAGATACTTGCACATGCATGTTTATAGCAGCACAATTTGCAATTGCAGAAATATGGAACCAGCCCAAATGCCCATCAGTCAATGAGTGGAAAAAGAAAATATTACGTGTGTGTGTGTGTATATATATACATATATATATACATATATACACATATATATGTACATATATACACATATATACATATATATGTACATATATATACATATATGTGTATATATACATATATATGTGTATATATGTATATATATACATGTGTATATATATATGTAATAAAATATGCACCAGAAATTGATATAAACAAATCAGCCATATTAAAACTGGATATCAGTTTAATTATTATTCCCTGACTCAATGAAAAATAATGCTAAATGCTACTAGAAATTCATCTAAAGTAAAGCCACTTTAAATTACTGGCAATAATAAATAAATGAATATTTAATGAATACAAATAAACAATACCAAAAGTAAGAGTTGTTAACACTGAAAAAAATCAAAGCAGGAAAATTTTAAAAAGCACAAAGGTGATCAATCTGTGGCATATTTTCATACCAAATATGTGGCATTAAAATATATAAATTAGAGCTAACTCATAAGAATAAGAACATTTTGACAGAACTTTACTTATCAGTTGTCTGAAGATCATAACATTAGAAAGATAATATAACGCTGTTCAGTATGTAAATATCACAGGTAATAAATTAGATCTAATAGATGTTGAAATTTATACCTTGAAAGTAAAGAATCTCTGTTTTTTTAAACATAAACATTTTGCCAAGACAAAATTATAATCTTCAAAAATGACAAAGATAATATGTTATTTCTCTGATAAAATGCAATATAATTTGAAATTAATAAATACAATATTAAAAATTCATAATAAAAATTTACATGTTAATTAAAGGCAAGTATATTTGATGCTGTATGTGTGTGCATGACACAATTATTTTATCAAAATGAGAATCAAAGTGAAATTGTAGAATATTTAGAAATGCAAAGTACAAAGATACTTGTGTAAAATTTAATGAAATCCGACTATGTCAATAATCAGATGAAAATTCATGAACAGAAATTACCATAATATGAAAGAATAAAAATTTAAAAAATAGGAAAAATAACAAATTAGAAAAGACAGAAATGTGATCTTAAGGACAGTAAAGGAATGATATAACTATGAAAGCAAATACTATTTTTTGGAAAGAAATAAACTTGAACTAGTTAATAATATACAACTCAAAATAATAGACAAATAATCAAGTGATAAAGAATATTTTTACCATAAACTCAAAATTAAAAATCAACATCCATAATTATCAAGAAAAAGTAAATAGAATAGCCAAATATGCAAATATGAAATTTTCAGAAAATTAATTTCAAATGTTTAAGAAATACTATAAAGAATTTTATATTTGATAGTGTTATTAAGAGAATTCTCTCATGCATAATTAGTTAATATTTTATGTGCCTATTTGATATGAGAAATGATTAAGATATTGGAATGGATGAGCAAATGTTATATTGTCACATATTACTGGTGGTAACTCTACAGGTAACAATAAAGTAACATTTATTCAGAATTAAATTTCCACATACTCTTTGACCCAGAAAATTCACTCCTGGAACTGTATCTCACGTTATTAAAAATGCTGTTATGTGAATAAATATATGCAAATAATTTATTACAATGCTATTTATAGTGACTATATACTGGGAACAAAGTAAGTGCAGATTACTAGATGTTTTAATCAATTAGCAGATTACTAATGTTTTAATCAATTATGTTATAGACTCGCATAGAACATCATGTAGTCATTTAACATGTCTATGAATTATATACATATTGACTAGATAAATGAACATGCTCCTTTATTGAGAGAAAAATCTAAAGCATAGTGAAGTATGTAACATCTCACCTTATTTTTTAAGGCAATAATAATTTGTATTATTATGTGTATGCACATAATTTATATGGGGTATCCATGTGTCCGTTTAAAATTAAATTAATAGATTAATAAATATTATCTATGAATAACATATATGCATATCAATTAGAAATGTAAAATAAACTAGCTAGATTCATGGATACATTATTTGGAGATGTCCTGGGTATATTTTTAAATAAAAATAGCAAGTTGCAGATTTATGATATTATATTTAAGCAGTGAATGTATTACTAATTAGATTTTTTAAAAAACTTACATTTGAGCAAGAAAAAATATAAGTAATCATATATATAAGGGTCTGGTTGCACAGAGAATTATACATGCCAGATTGTTAAAAATGTTATATTTGATATGACGGTACAGGAAGAGTGAAGATGGGAGTACAAAAATGATTAGCTCTCTGGTTATATATGTTGGTATTACTACAATGGTTAAATATTTGTATAAATACAATGGTTAAATATTTGTAGTAGAATTGTATGAATAATTCATAAGTCTTTATGGATTATGTTGAACATTATGTTGCATAAAAGTATTGAGAATTTATGAATAAAGGTACATGAGGGAGAAGTAAATGTTCATTCAGTATACCCAATTTAACTTAATTTAGGAAATGCCCTGGAGGCTTAATGATACTCAATCCAGTACATCACTAGCTAACAATGTTTTATAACTTTTACTGTAAATTATATTTTGTTGTTTATTGACATTAGCCTGGCAAATGTCACTTTTAAAGTGCGGAGTTTTAAGTGTTGAGTAAGTTGTAGTGAGGTTGTTTTCAGTTATCTCTTTACATAACATTTGAGAAAAGTTGTCAGTTTAAATTTAAACTAACAAGTAATATAATTAGTCAAGGCAGCATCTCTAAGTCTTAGAAAGTTAACTTCAATATTTGAATCTCCTTGCCTTCATTATAGCAGAAAATTCCATTATGTAAATAGTCTTCTTAATTTTATTGAATTTAGTGGCAATAACTCTGATTTAGATGTTTAAATCATAATTGTGTGCTTCTAATATATTTTTATTGTGTGTCTATCAAAAGCAAGCATTTAAAAAATCAAATCTTTTAAGGCTCTTTTGCTAGAATGTTTTCATACTGAGATGATCTGATATTGGTAAGTTTAAATTACATTCTTAGAAAATACAGTCACTAACAAGACTACTTACACCATTTTAAATGTTACTGATACTAAGACTAGCTTTTGATAAATAACTTTGTTTCAGTTCTGCTATAAAAACCATTGTTAAAAACGTATGATATAAACCTGAGATATTTTCCAAATATTTAAAGTGTTTAATATATGCACACAGCAATACTTCTACTTAGAGGCCATGAAACTTGATAATTATAAAAATTTAATAGTAATATTTTGTGATTAGATTAAGCATTAGTCTAATGTTTAATAAAGATCTTTCAGTTTAACTTGCAAAGGTAGCTTTGAACTTCAAATGAGAGTAAGTATGGAAGAGGATTTGTAATTCCTTTGCTTCTGTAGATAAGCACATAAGAAAACCATTCAGTCATATTTTTCTATAAAACTACTGAAATTGGTGGATGCAAAGAAGCCTTAATGAGTTGAATTTAAGAAAAGTGCAAAGCTTTCTAGTTAACTGGAGAGTCACATTAGCAAAAGCTAGGGTAAATCATGTCCAGGATGCAGATAGTTTGAGGAGTGTGTCTGCAATAGAGAAATGGATTTTGCATGGGAGAGGAGAAATCAGGAAATTCTAATAACAGTGTGGACAGTTAGGGCAGATTAAAATCTAATAGAACTCTCAACGTAAGAAAAACATTAACAAACCCACCAGTTTTTCACCCTCTCCAGCTCAAAAATTTACAAACAAATTAATATTCATGAAAGGAATAGAAACTTAATAATTTATTCAATCTTTCATATTATCATGGGGTTTGAATTCCTGGGAACTTCAGAGTTGAAGCTAACTGCAAATCAAAAGCTCATGGAAATACTGCGCAACCACGTTCCAGCTTAAACTCTGTCAAAATCAAGAGTTGGCTGGGAGTTAGTTTACCCAGATATTAATTCAATATGAGGAAAGATGCAGGCCTGCCTCCAAATCAGCTGGACTCTTGTTTATGCCAATAACCCCCAAAACAAAAGGCTTTACACTATGTGGAAAACACAAACAATATTACTTCAGACTCCACTGTTCTTTTCTACATTATGTCTGTAATGGAATAAGAAAAATTACATAATATATGAAAAAAGCAAGAAAATATGGCCCAAAAGGAAAGAGGAAAAAGGTAACCAATAGATAAGAATCAGATTTGACCCAGATTCTATCGTGAGAAGATATAGGAAGACAAACAAATTAAAACATAAATAAATTGAATATATAGTAAAGATTACAGCAGCAGTCACTGAAGTTTATTAAAAAGCCAACTGTAGAGCAAACTAATAAAACCCAACATTTTTCTCCAAAATAATCATTAAAATACTTAAACAGCTAATGAGGCTAAGTAAGGAAAAAGAAAATGCAAGTTACCAACATCATGAATAAAGACAGGATTCCAGTGCACATTAGAAAGGATAACTGTCTGATATTATGAACACCTTTACACCAACAAATTCAAAAACTAAGTTTATATAGACAAATTACTTCAAAAACACCATTTACTAAATCACACAGAAGATAAACTAGAAAATCAGAAAAGCCCTATATCTAAAGCAAATTAATTTATCAGAAAGCATCCCACACAGAAAAATAAAAGCTCACATGCTTATCTGATGATTACATCAAACATTTTAAAAATACCAATTTTTATAAAATTATTCCAGATAATAAAAGAAGAAATAATACTAGGCATCTCATTTCATGGCCTAATTAACCACCTAAATAAAACTTGACAATGATATTATATGAAACCACAGATCAATAACCTCATGAACATTAAAGCATGAATTCTTTACAAAATATTAGCAAATCTAAATAAGCAATATACAAATATACAATACACCATGATTAAGTGTGATATATCACAAATAAATTAGTATTCAAGAAAGGAATAGAAATTTAATAATTTATTCAATCTTTCATATTATCATGGGGTTTGAATTCCTGGGCCCTTCAGAGTGCAAGATCAGACCAATATTTGAAAAGCAATCAATGCAATTCATCAGATAAAGGAGAAAAAACAAGCCAAAAAAAGTAATATCTCGATAGATTCAAAAAAATTTCTGAAAAAACTTAACACATTTTCTTTTTAAAAACCCTGGGAAAATCAAGAAATAAGAAAGCTATGTCATAAATCTCATAACGATTATCTACCAAAAACCTACAACAGATATCAAAATTAATAGCAAAAAGTTAAATACTGTCTTCCTAAGATCAAGAAATCATGCACATGTGCTCTCAGCATGTCTATTTGAAATTTTTTAAAGAAGGTCCTACTTGTTATAACAAGCTAAAAATGTATATATAGAAGTTATAAAGATAGAAAAGGATGATTAATAATCTTTCTAATCATAGAAACCATGATTTTTTAATACAAAAATTCTACCAGAATCACAAAACAAATTCTAAAAATAATTTAATTCAATGAGGCTACAGTATATACTATAAATTAATTAAATGAGGAGATAACGTTTTCATCAAATATATAGGAACAAAAGGATATCCGTAGAAAAGAAGCCACAATTCCTGGACTAATAATAGAAAAAATAATTAGAGGTTAAATTTGGCCAAATTTAAAAGGTAAAATCATAAATCTACTCAAAGAATACAAAGGCAATCTTTGAGATGTTGAGGTAGGCAAAGATTTTAGAGACACAAAGCAAAAAGCAACATCTATAAATAAAAACAAAAGATTAGCAAACTAAAAGCCTTGTGCTCATCAGTTCACCATTAAGAAAATCATTTCCCTATAAAGGATTAGGAGAAAGTATTTACAAAACATACCTCTGATAAAGTATTTATATCAAGAATATAAAAGAGCTCCTACAAATCAACAAAAGATTTAAAACTAATGGTTGAAAAAATGGTGGAGTATAGGAGAACTGCCTCTTCACAAAGGAAAATATACACGTGGCTAATAAGAAACACTAAAATCTACTTATCATCATGTATTACTGAAACAGTGTATACTATTTCAATTACCTAGGTGAAATAAATAACTGTTTATCTCCTAAATTTTGTGTTGGTATCTAATTACCACACAATAAAATGATACCTCTTAAGTGTTCAATTTAATGAGTTTTGACATTGCTTACTCTCATATAACTCAACAATGTAATAAAGATATAGAATATTTTAATCACCCAAGAATGTTTCCTTTTTCCATTTCCAAATATTTTCTTTCTACCACTGATCCTTCTACCCAAAGGCAAACAAGTTCCAATTTCTATCTCTGCAGCTTAATACTGCCTATTATTTTAGTTCATATACATGAAATAATATATAATGTAATCTTTTGTTTCTGGCTTGTATTTTTTAACATATTTATAATTCTCTAATATTAGTTGGTATTTCAATAGTGTGATTTTTTTTATGGGTTAGAAATATTCCATTGAATAAATAGTATATGGTTCTTTTAAGCATTGTCCTATTGGACATTTGTGTTGTTTTCAAGTATTAGCTATTTTGAGTATGGTTGGCATTAATGTTTCTTATATACTCCAATAGCATGGCTATTGGACCTTTTTAATAATTGTTTCAAAGTCCTTGATGTTCTATTTATTTTTTTCTCAGTTTTATAACTTAATTATTATTGACTTATTCAAATTCAATGCCCGTTCTCTCAACCACATCCATTGTGCCATTGAGCCTAACCAGATTTTTTTTTAATTTCAGAAATTGTATTCTTTTGTCCTAAATTTTTTATTTATCTTTAATAGTTTATATTTCTTTGCTGAAACTTTTACCTTCCTATTTTTTTCAGTGCTTTTACTTTTACCTCAGAGAACATGTTTATAATAGTTAAACTCTTTGATAATTTGAACAGATCCATCATCTCAGCATTGTCAACTATTGATTATTTTTTTCCCTTGAGAAATGTCTCCATGTCTCAAATTAGTGTATGTTGTGTGATTTTGGATTGTATCCTGGACAATTTGAATATTACGTTGTATAGACTATAGGTCTTTATGCAGTCCTCTAGAAAATTTGTACTTATTGTTTGCCTCAGCAGGTAATCAATATGATTGGTTTTAGATTGCAAGTTCTATCTTGTCTTCTAGGTAATTCTTCCACATTTTTATTACATGACTTTGCATCTGCCTGATGCATGTGCCACTCAAGGCTAACTCTGAGAATTGGACCGTAATTTACATCTGAATCCAATTTTCAATGCTTTTACTATGTTAATTTAGGTCGGTCCTACATACTCACACCTCAGGAATAAGCCTGAGGCTTGTAAGATTTCATTAGAGAAGGGGTCCCCAACCCCCAGCCCAAAGACCAGTAGCAGTCCTGGCCCGTTAGGAGCCGGGCCACACAGCAGGAGGTGAGCAGCAGGTGAGTGAGCATTACCGCCTGAGCTTCTCCACTCCTTATGAGAAGCTCTAATGCCTGATGGTCTGAGGTGGAACAGTTTCACCCAGAAACCATCCTCCGACTCCGTCCCTAGTGCCAAAAAGTTGAGGAACTGCTGCATTAGAGGATTCCCTTTTCCAGCTTTCTACTGTCTGGGATGCCCTCTCACATGCTATGGCCCACAGGGCTACCATTTTTCAGTTCCTCTAGCTAAAACATGATGATCATCTCGGAGTTTTAGTCACCCACGCTGCTGCTGTCATGTAGCTCTATGATTAAGGCCCACAAGCTGAAAGGGTTTCTACCAGAGTTTTGGCCACCTTTATCTCCCACTTTACAGCTTTGCAACTGGGACCCACACATGGGGCAAAGTCATGAGAAAATAACTAAAAATAAAGTTAACTCTCATACAGATTACTTCTTCAGGTGCTGTCTTCCCTCTACCAGCTGCCTTCTTTTATTTAATTTCTGAGTCCTCAAATTATTTTCTTACCAGAATTTTTAGTTGCAGCGCTATTATTTTAACACCAAACTCATCAGCAGGTAAGATAGGCTGTGGTGAGCTTATCCTCTATAGATCAGAATTAGAACTCCAGTGTATGGAAATTTTGCCTCAAAACTTTAAAAAAATACATTGAATTCCTCTTACCCAGTTTTGTCTTTACTATAGTACAGGTTAGAAATTGTGAACTATTTTCCATCTCTTCCATGTTTAAACAAATATGAAATATGTTGACAATAATAGGAGACAACATTTTCACTACTGGATTTGTAAATTAAAACTTAAAAGGGGAAAATTAGAAAGTTTTATGTAATTGAGGTTATAGCAAGAACTCTGAAATCATATATATATATATATAAACACACACACACATATGTATATATGTATATTATAAACAGGTTAGTATCCCTTATGCAAAATGCTTGGGACCAGAAGTGTTTCAGATTTCAGGTATTTTTGTATTTTGAAATATTTGCCTATACATAATGAGATATCTTGTAGGTGGGACCCAAGTCTAAACGTGAAATTTATTTAAACTTCATATACACCTTATATACATAGTCTCAAGGTAATGTTATACAATATGTTAAGTAATTGTGTGCATGAAGCAAAGTTGTATATGTTGAGCCATCAGAAATACAAGTGTAAATATGGAATTTTTTATTTATTGCATAATGTTGGCATTCAAAAAGTTTCAGATTTTGGAGCATTTTGGATTTTGAATTTTTGGAGTAGGAATGCTCAATCCATGTATGTGTTTAGTTTATATATGTGTGTGCATATATCTTCTAGCTTTTTTCACTGAGTGGGTCTAGAACAGAATTATCTAATAGAATTTCCTGTGATGACAGAATGTTTCCTATCTGTGCTGTTTATCCTATCACTAGCCACATTTGGCTATTAAGCACTTTGAATGTGGCTAGTATGACTGAAAAACTGATTTTAAATAGTATTTATTGTAACCGATTTATATTTAAATTAAAATAGCCACATGTTGATGTAGCTATTATATTTGACAGCAAAGAACTAGTAGCACACATATAGCATTAGCAATGAGTACACATAGACCTATATTTTGATTTTTAAATTCCATATCTTACTAAAATAAAATAATCAGAGAAAAGGCTGATTGCAGAGCTGGGTCAGGGAAACTATGAAATGAGCTTAGAGAATCATGCTATAACAAAAGGTAAATAAGCATTCAAAGAATGAAGAGACATATAAAAATAATATGATAAGCAGATTGAAGGATTCCTGCTGGTCAAATCTGGGACAATTATGGGATTAAAATAAATATCAATCATCACAAAATATAATCTGTTAGATAAAATAGGATTCCATGAGCCCTTTTGACTATAAATTGATAAATGCATAAATAAAAAGAATGTTAAAACTACTTCTTACTGTGTAGCGTCTAATGTCAATGATGGAGAGAATGATGGAGTTAGAAAGGTACCTGTGGATGCTAAAACTACTTAGTGAACATGTGATGAATAACCGGATATTTATAATTACTTTCATGTATGTGATATTTATGTTTTAAAATATTTATATTTATATTCTTGAAATATCTCTTATAAAACATACCAATTACCAAGAAAAATAATATTAACTTTACAGTGAGGAGATTTGGCAGACACTATCTTATGAAAGTGATCTAATTTTATCTATATCAATATAGGAACAAACCAATATCATGTGTTTCCTGATATTGTGCCCTGAGAAGAACACAATATTATTTCTGTAGTATTTCTGCCAAAAATTTATAAACTGGATTCAATTATAAGAAATTATCACAGAAAACAAAATTAAAAGTCATTCAACAAGTTAACTTGACTGTACTGTTTAAATGTCAAGGGCAAGAAAAAACATAATTTTGTAGGTTAAATGAGACTGAAAAGAATTGGCAATTAAATGTAATGCATTGTTCTAGACTAGGAAAACAAGGAGCCATTAAGGACATCAGTAAGACAATTGACAAAATGTGAGTATGGACTAAAGTTAGATATTAGTATTATATCTATGATATAATTCCCGGTTTTGATAATTGCACTGTGGTAGTGTAAGATAATGTTGTTGTACTAAGAAAATGCACACACTAATTTAGGGTAAACTAGCAAGACATGAATACACTCAAATGGCTCAGAAAAAAAAGATCAGTGTCATAAATTTTATGGGAGGAAATGTAAGGAATTGGTGAATCCAAATGAAGACTTATTTGTGTAATCCTTGCAACTTTTCTGTAAATGTGAACTAAGATAAAATTATATACAGAGTGCAAATCAATGTGTTTCTTAATAAAAGCAAATATATATATATCAAAAACATAAAACACTTAGAAATACTTTTAATAAAAGTTGTGCTAAGTCTCTTACAAAACATGACAGACTCACTATTTTGAGTTATCAATGCACTTCAATGTAATCTATAGAAGAAAGTCCGCCACTGTCAAAATTCTGTCAGGATTTTTTATAGAATTTGACAGGCTAATTTTAAAACTTTATATAGAATAGAAAGGACCTAAAATATACAACAAAACTTTTTTAGAAAAATATAATAAAATTGTAGAAAATACACAATGTGATTTCAGGACTCACTGGTATGTTACACTAGTTGAGATATTGCAAAAGACATAAATAAATCAATGAAAGAGGATAGAGAATCTAGAAACCAACTTGCACATTATATATTAAAATGACTGTTTACAGAATATCAATGGAAATGAGTGAATACTGGAAAGTAACTTTCTTTTTTTCAACATAAAAAAACTCCATAGTTTTGTCTTTCTAAAATTGTCACATAATTAGACTTATATAGTATTTAGTCTTTTCAGATTCCTTCACTTGGTAATATGCATTTAAGCTTTCTCCATGTCTTTTCATGGATTAGTAGCTCATCTATTTTTAGCAATGAATCATATTCCATTGTATGGATACATCACAGTTTATACATTCTCCTACTTAAAGGCATTATAGTGTCTTCCAAGTTTTAGCAATTATGACTAAAGGTGCCTTAAACAGCCATATGCATACTTGTTTGGATATGTTATCAATTCTTTTGAGTAAATACCAAGGAGTGCAATTGCTAGATTTTATGGTACATTTAATTTTGTAAGAAACTGTCAAACTTGCTTCCATAATGCCTGTAATATTTTGCATTCCCACCAGCAATAAATCAGAATTTCTTTTGTTCACATCTTCACCACCATTTGGTGTTGTTAGGTGTTGGTCATTCTAATATGTCGTGGTATCACATTGTTGTTTCAGTTTGCATTTTCTGGATGATATATGATGGGAAATATATTTTCGTATGTTATTTCCCATCTGTATATCCTCTTTGGTTAGGTGTCTGTTAAAGTCTTTCACCCATTTTTACATCAGGTTGTTTGTTTTCTTCTTGGTGAGTTTAAGGAACTTTTAAAGATCAGTGGTTGCCAGGGATTAACAGAGGAGTGAAGGTAAGTAGGCTGAACACAGAGGATTTATAGAGCAGAGAAAATACTCCTCATGATATCATAATGGTAGACACATGTCATTATACATTTTTTCAAACCCATAGAATGTACCATAGGAAGAGTGAATCCTAATGTAAGCTATAGAGTTTGAATGACAAAAATCTTTCAATATAGGTTATCAGTTGTAACAAATGTTACAACTCAAAATGTTACTCAAATGTTACAATGTTAAATCCTCTTTTGGAGGATGTAAATAATAGAGGAAGCTACACATGAGAGAAAGCAGGAGTTAAATGAGATATCTCTGTATACCTTCCTCTCAATTTTGCTGTGAACCTAAAACTGTTCTTAAAAATAAAAAAAACTTAAAAAAAGAAAAAGTGACCCAAAGTATATATGCTATGAGTACTATTACTTTCATAATATGCTAAATAAAAATTTATTTTATCACAAGTGTTGATTACTTGCTTTTAAATGCTAATTTTAAATATTTTAAATAACTAATTTACCTACATTTGACTATTTTTATTCTGAATGTACCTGAACTGGGTCAGACTTTGTATGCATTAAAGTTTCCATAAATGTAATTTTGTTAGGAAATTACCATGCAGTTGAGCAAACATTACTTCTTAAAGAGCCCAAAATAATAAATGAGCATAAATAATACAGAGTGGTATATAGTATTCATAGTAATCTGTGTACTAGTTCTTATCTGAAAATGTGACTCTACTGTGACATGTAGTACACATACAGAATGTATTACTGTGCTATAAGCCAACTAAAATATTAAATGAATTTATCTTATATATTAGGAATGAGAAAAAATTTGGCACAAACAATAAGCATAACTGACTCTAATTCAAACTGCAACATCTTTTTTCTGTTGGTAAATGACTTAAGGAAATGTTTCTTTTTTTACTCTAAAATATGTGAAGCAATCTTGTTGCATTCAAACCCCACCTACCTAATAACTCATGAATGCAAATTGAGCATATCCATGGGTTTTCTACTGATTTGTTTCTGAAATGCTACTTTTCTCTTGCTTTGATTTGATACCACAATTTTAGTACCACCACAGAATCATCAATTCTTACACAGAATTACTTTAGCTTCTCTGTCTCTTGACTCCTGGTTTCCCCACAGTCTTTCTTTATTTTAGACTAATTAGAATAACCCTCTGTGGGGAACGGGGGAGGCAGGCTGCATAGAGGAACCAAAATGAGAGAGTTGTAAAATCAGAAACCATTGCTAAATATATTCCCTCATTTACTGAAAATATTTAGAAATTAGGGAAAAAAGAAAAAAAATTAAAAACTGATGGAAGTGGCAACTAGTTTAAAATTATAAGTGTTGCTCTTAAGGTCTACTGATTGGCCTTAAACCTTTTTTTATTATAAATATAATTATAAAATTTTTTAAGTAAACAATATTTTTATTCATACAGTGAGAAAAAAATTACCTGGAATGATAAGAATAATTATTTTTAAAAAAGTAGTAAATACCAATAAATACACTTAAAATATTAACTTTAAAACTTAAAAGTGTAATTTAAAGAGAAGTGCAAACCCCAAAGTATCTGACACAGGTCTCAATCAATTTAGAAGTTTATGTTGTCAAGGTTAAGGACATGCCCAGGGGACAATTCTGTGCCTTTTCCAAAGATTATTCTGAGGGCTTGAATATTTAAGGGGAAAAGCAAGCTGGAGGGGAAAGAGAGAGGATGTGGTCACATTACTGAATCCACATGTTGCAAGAGAAAAGGGGCAGACAGGGGAATAGTCCATTATATATTCTTCTCATGCTCAGTAAATCATCACTTAAGGTGAACATAGAGTAGCTACTTAGGGAGATAGCTACCTGTGGAGAAAGCTCTCTGCTTAGGAGCAAAAGGAAAGGCAGTTTAATGTTATTTCTTTTAGAAAATTTTTTGGAGAAATCATTTTAGAAGAAAATGAGTCTCTGATCTTGATTTTTGTTGATCTCTCAAGTCTAGGACACTTTATTCTTGGATGAATATGTCCCACATAGTTAGAAAAGCTCATTTTTAGGAGGTTGTGAAAAAAACAAGGTCCTATGAAGTAAAATAGGGGGAAGAAGCAAAAAAAAAAAAAAAAAAAGAGGGAGAGAAAAGGATAAACAACAAACAAAACAGGGAGAACAATCCTGAAAGCTAATATAAGCCATATTACTGTGAAGTCCATAAACCAGTAGGCATGTAAGAAAATGGTTTTATGTATATGTGTATATATATATATGTATATATAAAAAACAGTTATTTTCTTCTAACATTTAAATTGTCTAGATTTAGTATTTCCAATTCACAAAAATGGAAAAAAAAGAAGGAAAAAATTAAAAACATTATTTTGGAGATTTGTGGTCAGGATAAGTTTTAGGATTCAGTCCAAACTGTAGAAAATAATAAGAACTGTACAACATTGGATGAGACTAGAATCCAATAACAGGTGAACTATAGTTTATTTTGAAACATTACTTTTCTCTTTTCAATTCCCCAATTTTATTAAAGACAAAATCATAATAGGACCAATTCATTTGTAAAATAAGTTTTAGTCTAATTATACTTGGTGTAAGTGTTAAACAAAGAGGAAAGAGAGATGAAAAGTGGCTCAACCATCAAAGACTGGTTTATTTTAAAGAACTTAAACAATTTAAAAGGAAAAAAATAACTCCATCAAAAAGTGGACAAAGGATATGAATAGACACTTCTCAAAAGAAGACATTTATGCAGCCAACAAACATATGAAAAAAAGCTCATCATCACTGGTCATTAGAGAAATGCAAATCAAAACCACAATGAGATACCATCTCACACCAATTAGAATGGCGATCATTAAAAAGTCAGGAAACAACAGATGCTGGTGAGGATGTGCAGAAACAGAAATGTTTTTACATTGTTGGTGGGAGTGTAAATTAGTTCAACCATTGTGGAAGACAGTGTGGCAATTCCTCAAGGACCTGGAACCAGAAATACCATTTTACCCAGTAATGGATTACTCAAAGGATTAAAAATTATTCTACTAAAAAGACACATGCACACGTATATTTATTGCAGCACTGTTCACAATAGCAAAGACTTGGAATCAACCCAAATGCCCATCAATGATAGGCTGGATAAAGAAAATGTGGCACATATATACCATGGAATACTACGCAGCCATAAAAAAGGATGAGTTCATTTCCTTTGTAGGGACATGGATGAAGCTGGAAACCATCATTCTCAGCAAACTGACACAAGAACAGAAAACCAAACACCACATGTTCTCACTTATAAGTGGGAGCTGAACAATAAGAACACATGGACACACAGGGGCCTGTCGGGATATGGGGGACTAGGGGAGAGATAGCATTAGGACCAATACCTAATGTAGATGACGGGTTCATGGGTGCAGCAAACCACCATGGCAAGTGTATACCTATGTAACAAACCTGCACATTCTGCACATGTACCCCAGAACTTAAAGTATAATATTTTTTTTTTTAAAAGAAAAGAATAAACCTGAGAAGGACTTCCTGCTGAGTTAGGTCAGGAGCATTCTCTCTTACCAGACTAAGAGTATTTAAGGGTTCAATTCTGTAGAGATTATCACAGGCTTGCAATGTTTTTGTGTCTGTCTTGCTTATCTGGGAGGGAGAGTTGTGTGTTGGTTCTCATACATTTTCCTGCAGCTGCAGGCATACCCTCTGAGTATGCTTTTAGCTTCCCTATCTTAATGCACCTAAAGGGAAAGGAATGTGCTTATTAGGGTCCACAGTTTTACTGGGGCCCATTGTATGAGTGTGAAATTTGGTGGTTATCCAAGAGACTTTGCCCCCTCCTTCCCCGCCTGAGCTGTTTTACCTGTGATTTCCTGTCTGCTCTTTTTGGCTGCTTGTTGTTAGAAATTATTTCAAATGCATGAGGTTAGAAAGGGAGCTGGAACTTAAAATGGCGGTGTTTTTCCAAGATGATAGTGCTCCTGCTCTGTCACTTGGTTTGATTATTTGCATAAGGTTCAGCAAGAATAATATTTGCCATATAGGCTCTCTCTCTCTCTTTTTTAATTGGCTTTGCAGGGAGCTTTTCCATAAGGAATCTAAGACTGGATCTTTTTAAAAGTCTCAAGCCCGACCAAGGATTTATCTGTGCCTGAAGATACCTATATGAATTGGGTGTATTCCTCTTTTTTTGAGATCTGGGGAAAACTTGGGGTTCCTAGGCCTGCCAGAAAGTGACATTCTTTATTTACCACAAGTCAGGTATCTATAAAGGAAAAGGTATAAGGCCAGTTTTTCCAAAGAACTTTTATCAGCTCTATAGGTCAGACTCATTTTCTCAAGGCAATCTAAAAGTATTCCATTTTACTCAAAGCCTTGGTAATATAACCAGTGACTCCAATTATGCCTTGTTATAAAGTAAAACATATATTTTTTTTTATTTTTTGAGAAAGAGCCTTGCTCTGTCACCAAGCAGAGTGCAATGGTGTGATATCAGCTGACTGCAACCTCTGCCTTCTGGATTCAAGCAATTCTCGTGCCTCAGCATACCAAGTTGCTGGGATTACAGGCACACACCATCAGGCCTAGCTAATTTTTATATTTTCAGTAGAGACCAGTTTTGACATGTTGGCTAGTCTGGTGTTGAACTCCTGGTATCAGGCAATCCACCCATTTTGGCCTCCCAAAATGCCGGTATTACAGGCATAAGCCACGTCACCCGGCCCATAAAACAGATTCTTATAAAACTTATGCAAATAACTATATTGTCAAAAATTAAGAATACTCTCACTCTCTGAAATTTTGAAGAAATTGGGTAGGGAGAAAAGAATTAAATTTTAAAATTTGCTCATAAGAGTATATTTTATTCAATTGTCAAAAATTGCAAATAGCTTGAAAGAAGAAAAAGTTTTCCTGACTCTGAAAAACAAAACAAAAAGAATTAGCAAATTTTTTAACTAAAAAGTCATAAAAGATTATTTTAGTACTCTATTAGTTGAGCCCATGCAATTTATTTCTGTTCTGCTCAGTATTGGATCAACGATCCTCATGAATACATCAGCTTTCCATGAGAGTCCTGAAAGTTATTTTTTCTATTTTAATGGCAGTCTGTCTCTAAAGTGATCAGAAACCTGTATTTAAGAGTACTCCTCAGATATCTATAGATGATTATAAGCTGCCCTATAAAAGGATCAAAGTGAAACAACAATTATGGATCATAAAAATTATAGAACATCCATGGTTGAAGACACAGTTAACAAAGAAATCTGATTACTTCTGTGGCATATAACAATTTTACATGGCAATCATAATTACTTCTGAAAAAATATACTAAGATGTATCACAATCATAGGAATATCACACGATTTTGAAACACATACTACTAATGCATTCATATAACTTTAATTCAAAGATGATTAAACAACATTTCATATTTGAAAATGCCTCCTATATGATTTTATTACACTAAGTGAACCAAACATGTCTCTTTTGGACTTAAGGGGACATGATATTAAAAAAAAAAATTAATGAAGTCTAAAGGACAAACTTCGGAATTTGATTTGAAAATTTATCAGGTATAAAAATTTTAAAACACTGATATCACAAAATAGGATCACAGGTCATTGTAAAATAAGTCATTCATTTAGCCAAAGTGATAACCCAAAGAGTTCACAAAAAAAGTCTAAAACCTTTATTCTTTGAGTAGACTTAATTTTTCAAACAGTAAGTCCTAATAAAGACAGCATGAGGCCAATTAATTTTGTCTCTCAAATGTTATAAACAAAGCTATTAAATTTTAATCATCTTGACCACAAGATATAATTTCCATGAATGTCTCTATAACCTTTTATGATATTTTTTAAGTTGGTTAATGCTCCAAGAAAATCTTGTTAATCTGACACAGGGGCCCAGATGCTTGTCTTGTTTCATTGTGCCTTTGATATTAATGTTTAATTTATAGAGAAAATCCAAACTAATTTTCTGTCTCAAAATTAGCCCTTATAGTCTCCTGTGCCTGTCTCTTCCATGATAATCCCTGGGCCTGGAGGGGTTGAATAGTTTCAACTTCTGGCCCTGTGTCTCATGAAAGCAGTTTATTTTGATTGTCATCTTCACCTGGGTTTGAAGATGAGGCTTTAACTGCTGCCAGTGTTTAATATTTAGCAGGAGTCGGTGTCCTATTTAGACATAGGAGTCAAAGCCCTGCAACTTAACAGCATAAGCACTTTAAAAGCAATAAAGAAAGTTACAGAGATGTAAAAAACTTAATTAAAAAAATTAATCTCGTTTTTCTTAAGCAAACCAAAAGTTAGTAACAATGTCATAGGATTATTTTAATAAAAAATAAAACTGTGTTTAGTCTAGTTACCAAAAAGAAAAAAAAAAAAAAAGAGCCTCTGTAGTGTGATTGTTTTTCCCTATGGGGAGCCTATTTAGACATAAGAAGAGTGTGTCCTTGGTCATAAGTGAAAATTTTCAGTTTCAAGGAACTTTTTTTTTTGAGACAGAATCTGGCTCTATCACCCAGGCTGAAGTGCAGTGGTGTGATCTCTGCTCACTGTAACTTCCACCTCCTGGGTTGAAGCGATTCTCCTCAGCCTCTTGAGTAGCTGGGAATACATGCAAGCACCACCATACCTGGCTAATTTTTGTATTTTCAGTAAAGGTGGGGTTTTAACATGTTGGCCAGGCTGGTGTCAAATTCCTGGCCTCAAATGATCCGCCTGCCTCAGCTGCAAAAATTGCTGGGATTACAGGCGTGAACCACCTCACCCAGCCTCAAGGAACAATTTAAAGCCAAGAGCACAGAATATTACATAGGAACAAAACATTTCTTTAGATCTTTATGATAAACATTTTTAGCATCAGGCCACAACAGCAATTAGAACCTGTGGGAAAAAAAAAAAATTACTGTATCTGATGAGAAAGTTGAAAGAGAGTTATCTCAGGCCTTGTTTTCAAAGGTTAAGTGTGCAAGTGTCAAATATGTGTATTAGACAAAGGAAGAATCTTGTGGCAAAGATTATAGAAAAGAAATAAAATATGCTAACAACACTGTACCCCAAGCTGTCTCACCATGGTGAAAGAAATTAAACCTTGTATTTAAACTTTATGAGAGGGATTGCTGCTCTTGCCACATCTGTAGCAGTTAACAGGTGAATCTTAGAAATTCTGGGGTTTGTGGGCTTACATCCTGGCTATTAAAGCTTCTCCCTCCTTTTTGTGTCAGAAAAACTAAGGTGGCCACTTTCAGGAGTTTCTCTAAGGTACTATCTTGTCCCAGGGTCCATTTCTGAGTATAAACTGGACGTGGTGAAGTTTGTGGGTTGCTCATTCTGAAGGACAGGGAATTAGGTGCTCCTCAATTTCCTTCTTTCTTTCAGCAATAACCTGGGCTGTGAGGGAGAGAGGAAGTGGGAGTCCTGCCTTTCCTTTCTGTCTTCATGTCCTGCAGTCCTGGCGACCTTAGCAGGTGCCACCCATGGTTGCGAATGCAGCTTGCACCCATGAAGCAGGGAGGGCCTAGAGAAAAGGAATTATCCACACTCACCTATGCCTCTACCTCCCCTACTGTTGACAACCTTTGAGTTCCCTGGGCCTCATTTATGCTATGGAACATGCCCTCCCTCCCTGATGCAGGGGTTTAATTGTCAGGAATTGGCCTTGCCCATTTACACTGTGCTTGTTGCCTGGCTTTGGATCTCTCAGATCTGTTTTTCCTCTCCAGGCCCTCAAGCTAAATCTTGGAACTGAGTTTGAGACAGAAAAAAGGCATTTCAGGGGCTGCATGGATTCATTTAGATTAAGTCCCAGATGGGCTTTTCCAAATTAATGAGTAACAGCCAGCAGGGGTTGCTCCTCTGTTGCCTCCCTATCACAAGCAGATTGCTGAGGTATGAAGAGAATCCTCTTGCTTAGAAAAGAAAGCTTAAAGTGCTTAAGGTCGGGGTAGGGGACCTGGGAGAAGAAAAAGCCTCTTGCTCTGTGCAAATGGTTTTTTTTAATCACTGTATCCCTCCCACGGTTCAGACCGGCTAGACTTCCATGAAGGAGAACAGAACCAACATTCCTTTTACCCAAAAGAAAGAGAGAGGTGGCAGTTTATTGGAAGAGAGACAGATTCAACAGTTCCACATTTTAACTTACCCTTTCTCGTATCCCATATGGGCCCCCAGATGAGACAGGATTGTTCCCTTGACCCTAACCCCCTTCATGGGTGGGAAATGTAGTGACTCATTTCACTCAGCTCGCTCTGCTCTTGGCCACTTCTCACAAAAGGGAGTATGCAAGCGAGTGCAGGAACCAGAGGGAATGAATGCTGGAACCGGCTGGTCACTCCTCTCTGGGGGGAGAAACGTCCAAGCCCCTGCCCTCTCAGTACCTGGGTTCTTGTCTGGCATCCAAGAAAAATCAGGTCACATGAATGAATTGAAGGATAGTGTATGTGGAGGATTTTTATTGGGCAATAAAAGTAGCTCTTAGCAGGTTTCTAGTTGGAAAGGAGATTATGAGGGAAGGTGATCTTTCCCTGAAGCTGCACCGTCTGAAGTTAGCTGTGTCTACCTGTCTATCCATAGTCTCTGACACTCAGCAGCTTGTATCCCCAATGCTCAACAGCTTGTATCTCCGACTGCTTGCATCAGCCAGCCACTTGTGTTGCTCTGCCAGCTGAAGTCTTTTTATGGGCATATTAAACAATTCAGTTGACTGAGAATAAAAAAAAAAAATTTCTCAAAAACTAAAATCCCAGGAAAGAAAAATAAGGATAAATTTCTTTTAAATATATATAGTATGTATATACATATATTTACATATATATGTATATTTATTAAATAAATGGTTAAATATATGGGTTATATTGTTGTGCCACACTTTGAGATGAATTAAGAGTCCTTTATTAGCCGGTGACCGAGAGACAGCTAACGCTCAAAATTCTCTCAGCCCCGAGGAAGGGGCTTGATTAACTTTTATATCCTGGTTTAGGAAGGGGAGGGGGGGTTTAGTTAAAACAATTTTACCAAAGTTAAGTAGTCAAAAAGTTAAAAGGATAAATGGTTACAGGAAAGTAAACAGTTCCAGGTGCAGGGGCTTTAAGGCTATTACAAGGTGATAGACGTGGGGCTTTGGGTGTTATTAATCAGACGAATTCTTGGGGACTGTGGATATAGTTTGCCACAGTATCTTATCAGTTAATTGCATTCTTGGATATGCTGGGAGTCAGCTTGCACAAGTTAAGTCCTTGAGGAAGGGGCTGCCAGTGAAAGAGCCAAGATGGAGTTTGTCTGGTTCTCTTAGCCAAGGGAGAAACAAGGCCAGGTGAATAAGGAAAAAACAAGGTTGGGTATTACATTCCCCACTTGTGTTTTTGGGGAATCAAATCATTGATTCCTCAGTTATGACAAGGGGGTTACACTGAGTCCTAAGATACTTAAGTTTGACAGAAGCTATGCGCTGTTTTATAAAATTAAGAAACCAATTTAATATACAAGGACCGAAGATTAAACTTAATAGTATGATGAGGAGAGGTCCAGCTAACTCAGTGATTAAAGTAGTTAGCCAGGGGTTCCAGTTGAACATGCTTTGATAGCAGGGGATGTTATTTTCTCGTTCTTGTTGGCGCCTATCTAGATTTTCTCAAACTTTTTGGAGCGTATCTTTTATGACTCCAGATTGATTGGCATAGAAGCAACAGCTTTCTCCTAGAGCTGTACATAATCCTCCTTGAGAGAGGAATAGCAGGTCTAAGCCTCAGCGGTTTTGAAGTACTACTTCAGCCAGAGACTCTACCTGGGAATGTAGTATATCTATGGCAGAGTGGAGGTTACTTAAATCAGCATCCACCTGTTGAGACAAAGACATTAGTCCAGTTTCTTCTTGAACCAGGGCAGCCATACCA
Organism: Homo sapiens; assembly: GCF_000001405.40. Taxonomy (NCBI): domain Eukaryota; kingdom Metazoa; phylum Chordata; class Mammalia; order Primates; family Hominidae; genus Homo; species Homo sapiens. The sequence goes on from NC_000003.12 coordinate 164,335,040, forward strand.
ATGGCTGCTGACCCAGCTATGCTAAGACCAGCCAAGAGGGGAACCAGTAGTGGGGCAGCTCGGCGCAACCTGGGATGTAATTCCGGGGGAGCGATGAGGAGTTGTCCTTCTGGTCCACGGTACACGTATACTTGGGGAAGAACATGAACTAACATACACAAGAGACGTCCTGGTTCAGTTCTATTAATGCAGCGAGTGAGACCTGAGGTTCAGGCCAACCAGGTATTGATAGGCGCTTGGTAAGAGACTGAGGTACTTGTGGAAGTAAGTAGGGACTGATTACACATAGCCTGGAAAGGAGAAGCAGACAAGTTATACCTGGTACTAATCAGACAGGAAGCGTTTCCAGACACATCTCCTAGTGTGAGAGCACAGGGTCGTGTATGACAGGATAGAGGGCCACGTTTAAGAGTGGCTTCTACTCCTAACCCTACATAATAAGGGGGTTTTACTTTTAAACATAGCCAACAATCTTGGGCTAGTTTAGGCTGGATGAGGTTAAGGAAATGATGTACTCCACCTAGTATAGACATTAGGCTGGGTTGAAGATGATGTCCTTGTAGCCGGGGCTTAGAAACTAAGAATGGTAGAGGAACAGTTAAATCAACTTTGTCAGGGTGTTTCTGGAACATAGGGTCACCTAGATCAGTTAAAGGCCCGATTGGCTTAGGTGGGCTCCATGAGACCAAAATTTTCTTTTGGATGGTGAACATAGTTCCAACATCGAATCCTGAGATATAAAGTCTTAATCCCCATGACATGCCATAATACCATTGAGCTGAATTAGGGTCATGGGCAGTTATAGTTAAGAGGATTACAATTCTTTTCAGTACATGATTTAGGATGAGAAGCACGAGTTATGGAATTAATATCTGGCTGATCCCCCAGAGTAGGTGGCTAAAGTTACACATGTCCAATCAGAGCAGAAAAACTGATAAGTATCTTGACAGCTAGCATTAGGGTGATTTCCAGGACAGAGGTAACAGTCAACATTTTGGAGTCCTTTTTTTTGCACCTTTGGAGCTTCCACATTTAGTTTGGCTCCCAGAGCGTCCAAATCTTGCTGCAAGGTCGACACTTTTTGCTTCTGGGACCAGCAGATTGTGTTGCTCTTCATGGGTATGGGCTGGCTCTGGGAACAGTGCACAAAAATCAACTGCAAAGGAAACTTCCTTGAAGGTACCAGCCCTCCAAGTGGTGTTTGCAAATACATGTCCTGTTATGAAAGAGGTGAGGAGAAAGGAGTAGGAATGCGCAGAGGACATAACAGGCAAAAACAAACAAGTGAGGTAGATAAAAAGAATTAATCTAATGGCTTCACCTAACTTAGGTGCAGTTTTAAAGGGGCCTGACCTAGGCCTGGGGACCTATGTTTTTAGTTGGGCTCTGTTGGCCTTTTTGATGCGGGAGTGATGAATCAGGAGTGAGTCCTTCTTACTGGAACTTTTTAACAAACATTAGGTCTACTGGCTGGAATGAATGGCAAGGCCCTGTCTGTTTAGGAATTGGATTGGGATGGGCTCCTCAAACAAGTGGCAGAATGATATCTTGTACCTGTTGGAGAGACTGTAGATACTGCAATAAATTAGCTTGTGATATTTCTGCCAAATGGACATCTCTTAGCTTAGGCAAGATAGGCGGTGCCCGTCCATACATGATTTCAAAAGGCGAGAACCCAGCCCGATAAGGGGTGCATCTTACTCTAAGTAGGGCTAAAAGGAAGGAGACTTACCCAATTTTCACCAGTTTTTAAGATTAATTTTGTAAGAGTGTTTTAGGGTGCAGTTCATGCGTTCTACCTGCCCAAAGCTCTGGGGTCGATAGGCACAATGGAGCTTCCACTGAATGTTTAACACCTTACTGACCGACTGAGCTATGGACGAGGTGAAGGCAGGTCCATTATCAGACCCTATGGCAGCAGGCAGCCCGTGTCAAGGGATGATTTCATTGAATAAAAACTTAACCACCTTGCTGGCAGTTTCATTTTTGGTAGCAAATGCCTCAGCCCATCTGGAGAAGGTGTCTACTAGTTACTAGAAGGTATCTGTACCCAGCCCGGTGTGGTTTTACTTCTGTAAAGTCAATTTCCCACTTTTCTCCTGGTGAGTTTCCTCAGAGACGGTGACCTGGGCTGGGTTGAGGACCTTGCTTGGCATTTACCTGGGCTCAGGTTGTGTACCGGAAAACTGCTTGATCTGTTAGGCTTTGAAGATGGGAGATTCTTCTTTGTTTTTGATAGCCTTTTCTGCTGAGGTGAGTAGCCTGCGCTCCTGGTAGATGTGTCCATGTACATGCACAGTAGCAAAGGTGTACCTGCTGTCAGTGTAAACGTTAATACGTTTATCCTTACCCCATCGGAGACCCTGAGTGAGGGTGATCAATTCAGCTTTTTGCGCTAAGGTGTTTGCTGGTAAAGCCTGAGTCCACAACACATCTGTCTCCGTGGTAACAGCTGCACCCGCCTTTCGTACTCCCTGATCGAGAAAGCTGCCACCATCTGTGAACACAGTGGCATCCGCCTTCTCAAGGGGCACATCTTAAAGATCTGGCTGGCCAGTTTTGGTAGTTTCCAACAGTTCCTGACAGTCATGGACAGGAATATTGGAATCTGGATCTGGGAGTAGGGTAGCAGGATTTAAACACCTTGTGGGAGAGAAAGTCAAACGAGGCTGATTCAACAGTAAACTCTGATATTGTAAAATGCCAGCATTTGACATCCATTTACCTGAAGCACTTCAAAATAAAGTCTCTACAGCATGAGGAGCTGTAAGGGTTAAATCCTGGCCCAGAGTTAACTTATCAGTTTCTTGGACTAGAATTGCTGTAGCCGCTACAGCTCGAAGACAACTTGGCCATCCGGAGGCCACAGGATCCAGTCTCTTAGATAAATAGGCTACCGGGTATCTCCAGGGTTCTAAAGTCTGAGTCTCAAGCCTTTTAAGCAACTCCCTGGCTTTCATGGACAAACAGGTGAAACAGCTTTGAGATATTAGGGAGGGCTAAAGGAAGGGCTTCAGTTAATGCCTTTTTCAGGTTTTGAAAAGTCTGTTCTTCTGTGTCTGTCCAAATTAACAGGCCATTTCATTCTGTACCTCTTGGATAGCTGCCATTAGATTTTTGCTTGTCTTTTATATGCTTTATCGGTGGCTTTTTCAGCTGCCTGTGTTGCTTGTTTCTGTTTTTTATACTCTTGATTGTCAAAAACCTTTTGGGCTATTTCTAGAAGCTGACTGATATTTATCCCAGCAAATCCCTCCAGTTTTTGGAGTTTTCTCCTCACATCTGGGGCTGCCTGAGCCACAAATGCCAAATTAAGAGCACGGCTATTTTCAGGGGACGCTGGGTCAAAAGGGGTGTAAATCCGGTAAGCCTCCTGGAGGCACTCTAAAAACGCTCCTAGTGACTCTTCGGGAACCTGGACGACTTCAGTCGCCTTAGACAAGTTTATGGGTTTCCGAGAGGCTCCCTTAATACCCATGAGGAGATACCGGTGAAAATTGTCCAAAGCTGTCCTTCCACTTGAGGAATTTGGGTCCCAGTTAGGCCGGGTAGAGGGAAAGGCCTCCTCAAGGAGGTCTCTACCTTCCTCCTCAGGCCTACCGGCTGATGCAAGGAAGTGCTTTCTGGCCTCTTTTCGGATACGCTCCCTCTCCTCAGAGGTAAAGAGAGTTAAAAGGAGCTGTTGGCAGTCTTGCCAGGTGGGCCGATGGGTCCGGAGTACGGACTCCATCAGTGAGGTCAAAGCCTGGGGCTTTTCAGAGAAGGGAGGATTATGGGTTTTCCAATTATACAAGTTAGAAGTAGAAAAAGGGAAATAAACCAAGAAGGGGGCTGAGTGCTCATCACCCGGAGGGACTTGTGCCTCTCTCAGTGGTAGTAGAGGGGCTGCTTCCTCCCGCAACGGTCGCAGCTGGGAGGCAATGGGCGGCGACCCCACAGAGGACGTCGTTGAAGAGACATGGGATGACGCTAGAGGAGCAGGTTGGTTGTAAGGCGGCGGAACTGGGTGAGGGAAACTCTCCTCTTCTTCAGAGGAGGGCAGTACAGGTGGTGCCGAACTGGCTGAGGGTCGAGGCGAAAACGTAGCCTGGCTCAGGAGGACTTTGGAGGTGGAATTGTGAATGGCGCATGAATGGAGCCATGGAGGAGGATTCTTGACCAAACTTAACCATTGATCTACATAGGGAAACTGATCAGGGTGGCTGGGAGCTTCAGTAACAACCTGCCACATGGCTTGAGCAATTACAGGATTCAACGACCCTTAAGAGGGCCACCTAACTCTAAACTGGCCATTTTACTTCACAGAGTGTCCAGAGTTTGCCTTTCTTAAGGCAGACTCCCTAATCCTCTGAGAAACCAAGAGAAAAATTTTTCAGCATACACTGGAGGGGGCTCCAACCCTTGCAAGGCTGGGAGGAAGTGTTTCCTATTTTATTATTATTATTATTATTATTATTTAAAGGCAATTTAGCAAAGTCTTAAGTAGAGATATCAGATCTAACATGGGCAGAGAAACTCTTTCCCTGGGGGGCTGGAGTGTTGGAAAAACAGAATTAACATGATCAGGAAGAACAGAAAAACCACAACAGCTAATACAACTTGCCACATTGCTGTAGCTTTAAGATTGAGGGAGGGGGACTAGACGCCAGCCTGAGGTCTCCTGGGCTGGTTCAATCTAGGTATTCTCCCTCTTCTTTTTCCTCTAGACCTATATCCTAAATATTTTTGATGTCTCCATGATTCAAAGGCAAACAGTTCAAATTCAGCTCTTTCTTTTAAGGGTTCAAGGAGTGAGAGCAGAGCCAAGTCTTGGAGACGCTGAACTTGCTGTCGCACTGGAAAAAGAGATGTACGGGGTAGGGGGGCAGGGACGAGGAGGTGGAAAATGAGATGTGCGGGGTAGGGGGCAGGGACGAGGAGGAAAGGGACCACTCGGGTAGTTTTTAAGATGAGAGAGTATCCGCAGGGGAACAGAGTAGGAATTTAAATGAAGTAAACAGTAGGGGCATAGGTTTCCCTACACAAGGTCCTATTTAAGGGCATGGGGAAGGTTACAGAATGACAGAAGAGATAGGCAAGTAGGTCTACAGGGTGGCTGTTTTGAACCCACCACCAGTTTAGTTCAGAAGAAGTCCAATCACTAGGACGTGGGGTATGACAGTCTAAATACCAGCCAACCTTCATGGTGCCAGAAATCCCAATCAGACATATGTTCTTTACATTTGTTCCCGTAACAACACCTGACTTGCTTCTGGCAGAAAAGACAGGACTGTGGTGGCCAGCCTAAACAACTGATGAGAAATTTAACATCTTGTGACAAAAAATCAGCACTAAGGACCCTGAAGAAGTTTTTACCCAGACGTCTTGGGCAATATCGACGTTCTGACATGCAAAACCTTAACAAATACTAAACAAGACAATGAACACTGAACAGAGCAATAAAACATAAAGCAAACAATTCCACCCTAGGGCATGTAAACAGTTATGACAGTTTTCCTTTTTTTTTTTTTTTTTTTTTTAGACAGACAAGGGAAGGGGGTCCCGTGATGGGATCATTCAGATGTCCGCCTGGCCGCTCCCCCTGAGGGGACTTGGGCTCCTCTTAGCATTGGCAGGCCGGTATAAACCCCCGGCTTGGATCGAGCTATGCCCGATGCTGCCTTAAGCCTTATGAGGTAGCCATGGAACCCCAGTTGAGGGCCCACTCGAACTCTGTAGCTTTCGCCGTGGAGCTACAAACTGGAAGACAAATGCAAGCCTTTGTCCTCCCACATTTACACACCATTTATACAGAGTTTATAACAGTTTTTTTTTCTTTCCCGGAGATTCTCCAAGAAACCTGAACAAAAGAAGGATGGAAGATAGAAAAGAGAGAGAGAGAGAGAGAGACCGGTCTGACAGAAACCAAGTCTCAGCTCCCCAGCGTCTGGGTCTTAAGCTAAGTCCAAAAGTGGGAGGGTCCTCTTCAGGACCCCTTCCCACCCAAACCAAGACACAAAGGCGCCTATCAGAAAACCAAGGCTCAACCCACTAGTGTCCTAGAGTAACGGGCTGAGTCAAAAGAGGGACGCCCTCTTCAGAGCTGCTTCCCTCTTACCAGAACCTGAAGGAAGTCAAATCTGACCTACCTGACCCTGGGGTCAGAAGCTGAGGACTCAGATGCTGAATTTTAGGTCACTCACACGGTAGTCGATCTGCTCTCCTCTGGAAGACGGTCACTCTTCGGGGACCTGAAAATTGTTTCCTCAGGTGGCGCCCCGCCTCCGAGCCGGCCGTCCTTCCGGGGGAGCCTGGAGCGAGACCGGATCTCACACGGTGGTGTTAATATCTCGCTGGGGCCTCCAAAATGTTGTGCCCAGGGGTGTTAGAGAAAACACCACACTTTGAGATGAATTAAGAGTCCTTTATTAGCCGGCGACCGAGAGACCGCTAACACTCAAAATTCTCTCCGCCCGAGGAAGGGGCTTGATTAACTTTTATATCTTGGTTTAGGAAGGGGAGGGGGGGTTTAGTTAAAACAATTTTACAGAAGCTAAGTAGTCAAAAAGTTAAAAGGATAAATGGTTACAGGAAAGTAAACAGTTCCAGGTGCAGGGGCTTTAAGACTATTACAAGGTGATAGAGGCGGGGCTTTGGGCATTATCAATCAGACGAATTCTTGAGGACTGCAGATATAGCTTGCCACAGTATTTTATCAGTTAATTGCATTCTTGGATGTGCTGGGAGTCAGCTTGCACAAGTTAAGTCCTTGAGGAAGGGGCTGCCAGTGAAAGAGCCAAGATGGAGTTTGTCTGGTTCTCTTAGCTAAGGGAGAAACAAGGCCAGGTGAATAAGGAAAAAACAAGGTTGGGTATTACAATATATCTTTATGTGTATATATACACTTATATACGTGTATATGTGTGTATATATGCATATTTGTGTGTATGTGTATTTTAACATATATTTATTTACCACATATATATTTAAAAGCATATATTTATGCTTATTTTCTCTCCCAGGAACTTGGTTTTTTTATACATACATATATATATATATATACACATACACACACATAAACACACACATGTACACACACATATATGTACATATACACACATATATGTATTCAAGTACATATATATATACACACACTTATGTTTCATGTGCATCTGTGTGAAGAGACCACCCAACAGGCTTTGTGTGAGCAACAAAGCTTTTAATCACCCGGGTGCAGGCGGGCCGAGTCCAAAAAGAGTCAGCAAAGGGAGATAAGGGTGGGGCCATTTTACAGGATTTGGGTAGATAAAGGAAAATTACAGTCAAAGGGGGGTTCTCTGGCGGGCAGAGTGGGGGTCACAAGGTGCTCAGTAGGGGAGCTTTTGAGCCAGGATCAGCCCAGGAGAAGGAATTTCACAAGACAATGTCATCCATCAGTTAAGGCAGGAACAGGCCATTTTCACTTCTTTTGTGGTGGAATGTCATCAGTTAAGGCAGGAAGTGGCCATCTGGATTTGTACGTGCAGGTCACAGGGGATATGAAGGCTTAGCTTGGGCTCAGAGGCCTGACATTCCTGTCTTCTTATATTAATAAGAAAAATAAAATGAAAGTGGTAAAGTGTTGGGACATTGAAAATTTTTGGGGGTGGTATGGAGAGATAATGGGCGATGTTTCTCAGGGCTGCTTCGAGCGGGATTAGGGGTGGTATGGGAACCTAGAGTGGGAGAGATTAAGCTGAAGGAAGATTTTGTGGTAAGGGGTGATATTGTGGGGTTGTTAGAAGAAACATTTGTCATGTAGATACGGTTTTGTATGAATTGAAAAACTAAATGGAATAAGAGAAGGAGAAAAACAGGTATAAAAGGTCTAAGAATTGGGAGGACCTAGGGCATCTGATTAGAGAGTGCCTAAGGAGATTCAGCATAGTCCTGCCAGCAAAGATTATTTATTTACTTCAAGAGTTTAGAGTAGCAATTTGGGGATAGCACCAGGAGATATCAGCTGTGATGGCTTGGAGAAACAGTGTAAACTGGCAGTGTAAACAAGAGCAGGGCATGTATGAGTAGTTGAGAACGGTGAATAGGAGTATGACTAGATAGAAGATAGTAGGGATGACAAGTTTTTTGGGGGCACACTCTAAGTTGGTCTGGTGTCTGGAATGATACTGGGACCTAATAAAAAGGAGCGTCTATACAGGAGCTCAAATGGGCTGTACCTTGTAGCATTCTGAGGACAGGTCTGACTTCTGAGAAGGGAAAGTGGTAAAAGTATTGTCCAGTCCATTTTAATTTGGTGGCTGAGCTTGGTCAGGTGTGTTTTCAAAAGACCTTTAGTCCGTTCTACCTTTCCTGAAGACTGAGGACTGTAAGGGATATAAAGGTTTCACTGAATACTAAGCCTGAAAAACTGCTTGGCTGATTTGACTAATAAAGGCTGGTCTGTTATCAGACTGTATAGAGGTGGGAAGGCTAAACTGAGGAATTATGTCTGACAGAGGGAAGAAATGACTGCGGTAGCCTTCCCAGACCCTGTAGGAAAGGCCTCTACCTATCCAGTGAAAGTGTCTACCTAGACTAAGAGGTATTTTAGTTACCTGACTCGGGGCATGTTGAGTAAAGCTAATTTGCCAGTCCTGGGTGGGGGCAAATCCTCGAGCTTAATGTGTAGGGAAGGGAGGGGGCCTGAATAATCCTTGAGGAGTAGTAGAATAGCAGATGGAACACTGAGAAGGTATTTCCTTGAGGATAGAGTTCCACGATGGAAAGGAAATGAGAGGTTCTAAGATGCAGGCTAGTGGCTTGTACTATAGCATAGCCTGCCTTTGCTGGTGTGTGATGATTAGGCCTGGTGGAACTGCCATCAATAAATCAAACGTGATCAGGGTGAGGAACAGGAAAGAAGGAAATATAGGGAAATGGGGTGAATGTCAGGTGGATCAGAGAGATACAGTCATGGGGGTCAGGTGTGGTATCAGGAATAATGTGGGAGGCCAGATTGAAGTCCGGGCCAGGAACAATGGTAATTGTGAGACTTAACAAAGAGTGAGTACAGCTGAAGGAGCCAGGGAGCAGAAAGTATATGCATCAGGTATGAGGAACAAAATAGATTTTGGAAGTTATGAGAAATGTAGTGAGTGAGTTGAGCATAGTTTGTGATTTTTAGGGCCTCTAAAAGATTAAAGCAGTGGCAGCCGCTGCACACAGACATGAGGACTAGGCTAAAACAGTAAGGTCAAGTTGTTTGGACAGAAAGGCTACAGGGTGCAGTCCTGGTTCTTGTGTAAGAATTCTGACAACACTAACCATGCCTAGGAAGGAAAGGAGTTGTTGTTTTGTAAGGGATTGAGGTTTGGGAGATTAATCAGACATGATCAGCAGGGAGAGCACGTGTGTTTTTATGAGAATTATGCTGAGATAGGTAACAGATGAGGATGAAATTTGGGCTTGACTGAAGTAATGGGGACTGTCTGTGAAGCCTTGCAGCAGTACAGCCCAGGTAATTTACTGAGCCTAATGGGTGTCAGGGTCAGTCTAAGTGAAAGAAAGGAGGGGCTAGGATGAAGGGTGAAAAGGAATAATAAAGACAGCATGTTTGAGATCTAGAACAGAATAATGGGTTGTAGAGGGAGGTATTGAGGATAGGAGAGTATATGGGTTTGGCACCATGGGGTGGATAGGCAAAACAATTTGGTTGATAAGGTGCAGATTCTGAACTAACCTGTAAGCCTTGTCTGGTTTTAGGACAAGTAAAATGGGGGAATGGTAAGAAGAGTTTATAGGGTTTAAAAGGCCATGTTGTAACAGGCGAGTGATAACAGGCTTTAATCCTTTCAAAGCATGCTGTGGGATGGGATATTGGCATTGAGTTGGGTAAGAGTGATTAGGTTTTAATGGGATGGTAAGGGGTGCATGATCGGTCGCTAAGGAGGGAGTAGAGGTGTCTTATACTTGTGGGTTAAGGTGGGGAGATAAAAGGGGAGGCTGTGAAGGAGGCTTTGAACTGGGGGAAAAGGTGGCAATGAGGTGTGGCTATAGCCCAGGAATAGTCAGGGAAGCAGACAATTTAGTTAAAGTGTCTCAGCCTAATAAGGGAACTGGGCAGGTGGGGATAACTAAAAAGGAGTGCTTAAAAGAGTATTGTCTAAGTTGGCACCAGAGTTGGGGAGTTTTAAGAGGTTTAGAAGCCTGGCCGTCAATACCCACAACAGTTATGGAGGCAAGGGAAACAGGCCCTTGAAAATAAGGTAATGTGGAGTGAGTAGCCTCCATATTGATTAAGAAGGGGACGGATTTACCTTCCACTGTGAGAGCATCTGTGATGGTCCTGTAGGCTTCTGAGGTGATCAGGCAGTGTCAGTCTTCAGCTGCTAAGCCGAGAAGATCTGGGAAGGAGTCAGTCAGAGAGCCTTGGGCCAGAGTTCCAGGGGCTCTGGAAGTGGCTGCCAGGTGAGTTGAACAGTCTAATTTTCAGTGGGGTCCTGCACAGATGGGACACGGCTTAGGAGGAGTCCTGGGCTGTGGGCATTCCTTGGCTTAGTGGGCAGATTTCCAGCACTTGTAGCAAGCTCCTGGGGGAGGAGGTTCTGGAGGAACCCCTGGCAGCTTGCATTTCAGGTATTTGCAGTTCTTGTGTACTAGAGATGTGGCTGGGGTTTGTCTCACAGTGGAGGCGAAGAATTGCAACTCAGAAATATGTTGCTACTTGGCTGCCTCTACTCTATTATTGTACACCTTGAAGGTGAGGCTAATTAAGTCCTGTTGTGGGATTTGAGGGCTGGAATTTAATTTTTGGAGTTTTATTTAATGTCAGGAGCAGATTGGGTAATAAAATGTATATTGAGAATAAGACTGCCTTTTGACTTTTTGGGGTCTAGGGCTGTAAAGCGTCTCAGGGTTGCTGCTGAACAAGCCATGAACTGGGCTGGGTTTTTCATATTTGATGAAAGAGTCTAAATGCTCACTGATTTGGGAGAGGTCTGATAAAGAAAAAGGAGCATTAACCTTGACTATGCCTTTAACTTCAGCCACCTTTTTAAGAGGAAATTGCTGGGCAGGTGGGGGAGGGCTACTCACAGAATGAAACTGTAAACCAGATGGGTGTGAGGAAGGGAGGTGATAAAAAGATTATAGGGTGGAGTAGTGGAGGCTGAGGAAGAATTGGGACCTAGCTCGGCCTGGTGAGGAGTGGCCTGGGGAGGAGGGGAGAGGTCAGATGGGTCTGTAGAAAAGGAAGATTAGAAAGACTCAGCACCACTTGGGGGTTGGGACTGAGGGGACAGGCAGGAAGGAAAGAAGGAAGATTTGGGATGAGTTGCACTGGGCACAGAGACTAGGGAGGGACCGATGTGTAAAAGAATGCCTAGAGGTCAGGCATCTCAGACCATTTGCCTATTTTATGACAAGAATTATTTAGATCTTCCAGGATGGAAAAATTGAAAGTGCCGTTTTCTGGTTATTTGGAACCACTTTCGAGTTTGTATTGGGGTCAAGCAGCATTGCAGAAGAAAATAAGGCATTTAGGTTTTAGGTCAGGTGTGAGTTGAAGAGGTTTTAAGGTCTTGATAGCACAGGCTAAGGGAGATGGAGGAATGGAGGGTGGAAGTTTGCCTATAGTGAAGGAGGTAAGCCCAGAGAAAAGAGAGAGTAGAGACATGGAGGGAAGGGGTTCAGGGGTTCTTACCCTCCAGAAAAGTGGGAAAGGGGTTGGGGAGCAGAAATAAGGGGTTGAGGCACAGAGATAAGAGGTCGGGGCATGGAAATAAGGGATTGGGGTGCAGAGATAAGAGGTCGGGGTGCAGAAATAAGGGATTGGGGATTCTTGACCACTAGAAAAGCGGGACTTGCCGCTAAGGATGAAGGAGAAGGGGTTGATGGGGTTTTGCCCCTCTCCCAGAAAAGCAGAGAAGGGGTAGAGACACAGAGAGAAGGGGTTGGGATACTTGCCCCTCCTCCAGAAAAGCAGGACTTGCCACTAAGGGTGAAGGACCAAGGCAGGTATCTCTGCGTGGTCTGACACCTCTGAAACGTGGGTGAATAATCAGAGAGGCATCCCTGCAATGATTAAACAGCAAGGGAAGGCTGCATTCCCAGTCCATGACCAGCGCCGGAGTTTTGGTCCACGGATAAAACGTATCTCCTTTGTCTCTATCAGAAAATGAAAGGAATTGAAATTAAGAGAAGGGAGAGACTGAAGTGTGGCATCAAGATTGAAAGGAGAAAGAGGTTGAGAGATAGTGAGGGAGGTTGGAGAAGAGAGTAAAAGGAGGCCGCTTACAGGATTTGAAATTGGTGAGATGCTTTTTGGGCTGGTCGGTCTGAGGACCTGAGGTCATAGGTGGATCTTTCTCATGGAGCAAAGAAGAGGAGGACAGGGAATTTATCTCCCAAGGGAGGTCCCGCGATCCGAGTCATGGCACCAAATTTCATGCGCGCCCATGTGAAGAGACCACCAAACAGGCTTTGTGTGAGCAATAAAGCTTTTAATCACCTGGGTGCAGGCGGGATGAGTCCAAAAAGAGAGTCAGTGAAGGGAGGTAAGGGTGGGGCCATTTTATAGGATTTGGGTAGATAAAGAAAAATTACAGTCAAAGGGGGGTTGTTCTCTGGCGGGCAGAGTGGGGGTCACAAGGTGCTCAGTAGGGGAGCTTTTGAGCCAGGATGAGCCAGGAGAAGGAATTTCACAAGACAATGTCATCAGTTAAGACAGGAACAGGCCATTTTCACTTCTTTTGTGGTGGAATGTCATCAGTTAAGGCAGGAACCGGCCATCTGGATGTGCACGTGCAAGTCACAGGAGATATGAAGGCTTAGCTTGGGCTCAGAGGCCTGACAGTATGTACATAAACATGTATTTTTTAATTAAGCTGACATTTAACTATTGAGCTCTTAAAAAATTCTTTTAAATCTCATTAATATTTTGTAGCTGGTACAAACTGCTGCTGTTTCAAAAGTAATGCAAATATCAAGCAGAAAGGATTTGGCTTAGGATCCAAACCCAGGCTGCCATGGTGAAAAAAGGGCAGAATCTTAGCTACTGAATTATAGGATGGGCAACTGCCATTACTCTGTCAGTTTGGCTTGGCTAGCAGAAGGTGGCCTTGTTATTTAAATAAAGTCCCTCAGGTAATCAAAATTTATGTCTCTCTCTCTCTCTCTCTCTCTCTCTCACTGCAAGAATTTAGCCAATTGAGAGGCCTTGTTCCCCATAATTTGGAACTTTCCTTCAGATTTGATCAAGTCAGGTAGAATTGATCAAACTCAATGAACAAAAGACAGAAACAACAAAAACAACCAGCAAAACAGAAACAAACAAAAAAAGTTGAGCAAAACAAACAATTGCACAATTTATACAATTACTGTGTGCTCTAATTGTAAGTAGAAATTAAGACCAGCTAGTTGTTAATCTTAACTTTTAATCATTAAAGATAATTTCCAAGAATAAACCCCAATTCAGCTACTTACCTAGGAATGGGGCCCAGGCTGAAGACTGCTCTGCACCATCTTAGAAGCAGGAAAAAACTCAAACTTGCCTTCCCTGTTGGAAGTGAGCTGAAACTACAAGGAGTTGCCTGCTCTCTCTCCAACATTGCAGAAGCAGGAAACCTCACCTTCCTTGTTGGAAGTGACCAAAACTCCAGAAAAGGAATTGAACAGGAAAATAAAACTTAGATGTCAAATGAACTTGGGGAGATCATGGATTCTCTGGAGGCAGGAGCTCCCAGGCCTCAGAAAATTGTTGTATTGGTTTGAGCAATCAAGATAACTCAAAGTGGTGTCAAGCACTGATACAAGATTTGTCAAAGGTCAGGGCTACCTCCACTCAGAGTCCCTTTGTGGTCACCAATTTATAAACCAGAAAGTGTCTGAGACAGGTATCAATCAATTTAGTTTATTTTGCCATGGGTAAGGATGTGCCTTGGAGACAGATCTGTGCCTTTATCCAAAGATAATTTTGAGGGCTTCAATATTTAAAGGAAAGGAGCATGCAGAAGGGGACAAAGGGAGGGTGTGGTCACATTACTGAATTCACATACTGTAAGAGAAAAGGAACAGGTAGGGGAATAGTCAATTATATATCCATCTTGTACTCAGTAAATCAGCATTTTACATAAGATGATGAACATAGAGTAGCTACCTGTGAAGACATTTAATCCCTTATCTATAGGTATCTTCCTAGGAACAGAAGGAAAGGCAGTTTATTGCAAAACTCAGCTTTAAGCCTTATTTTCATTTTGGCATAGTCAAATGGAATCTCGAGTTTTAATTTTCTTTTTACAGAAGAAAAAACAATATCAATGATTATACTTTTGCAGTAATGTAACTATTGGCAATGATTGAGTCAAATATATAGCCTCACATGTTGATGGGGTATAAATTGCTATAACCACTGTGAAACACAATTAACCAATGTGTCTTAGATTTTTACAAAACATTTACTCATAACATTTAATCCACAAATCCATTTTTTAGGAATCACCCTTAAGAAAATAATTACAGAGGTGGACCCATATCTGTGTAAGATGTTCATTAGTAATTTTTGCCACAGTAAAATGTAAGAAACTATTAAAATGTCTATAAAAGCTAATGGTTAAGAAATGATATGTTAACTTTATGATGAAACACTTTGTAGTAGTAGAAGCTCTTTATTTTTTAAGAACATTCACTTACATAAAAGGATATTCATAATAAAATATTAAACAATGTCTGCTTATAATACTATTATATTTTGTTAAAATAGCATTAGAAAACTGGAAGTCAGTACTCTGAAAACTGAGTAATTATTTTGTTTTTTCATATTTTTCAAACTTTACCTTACTTCACTCATCAGAGATTGCTAGTTCTGACCTATACCATTCTCCGTTCTTTATAAGTACTGTAGAATTTCTGTACTTCAGTGTTACAGAGTCTTCCATCAAGAGACAACATTTCCCAGCCTTAGTGTAATCAATTGGTCCTAGATTCTGACCAATAGGCATTAGAAGATGTTTTCCATTGGAAATGCATATATACTCACTACCTATTTTCCCTCACAGCTGACTGGAAGTGAAGAGCTCTAGAGACACTACCTTAGATTTAGGAAAACTTATATTGATGATGTGAAGCCATCCTATTTCCTGAATCACTTGTTTCTGAACTTTTTAATGAGAAAGAAATAAATGTCTTCCTTGTTAAAGCCTCTACATTTGGACTTTCTATTGTAGCCTATGCCATGTACCATAACTAATATGTTTTATAAAGAATATTTTATTACAATATTTTTATAATAAAAGAAATCAAATGGGTTAAAAAAACAGTTTTATTATATAAAATGCATTACAGTATTTAAAAGTCATGAGCTATCTCTAACAGACCGCCTAGCCTCTTCATGCGCTGATTATAAAATTTGGAAAGTATTCTTCATATGAAGCACACACACAGACAAAAGTTTAGGAACATGGCAGTGGGACACAATTCTTTATCTGCTGCAAAGTTTTTCCATTTGACCACTACTGACCTTTTAAAATAGAAATTCTTTCTTGTGAGGGATTGTCCTTTGCATTGCAGGATGTTTAGTGACATTGTTGTCTCTACTCTAGATATCAGTAGCATTCACCCAGTTGTGACAACAAAAAATGTCTTCAGGTACAGCCAAATATCCAATGGGAAGCAAAATCACCCCCTATTTAGAGCCACTGATCTACAGTAAACTTTTACCATGATGAGGAAAAGAGTCATATAATGAAGTCATTGAGATCAGTACTATAAGAGCATTATTAATAGTAAGTGCCTTGGGTAAGACAAAGTTCAGCTCTTTGACCAAACTTCAGTCAGTTTTCTTTGTATCCTCTGATCATGTAGGTCTTGACCTATGGACTTCCATGTTTATCTTTGCATCCCTCTGTTTTAGCAAAAAAACAATTTAGTTGGTTTAGCCAGGATCCCACCCTCAATACCTGATCACTCCCCATGTCTAATCAAATTTCTCATACCTCATCATCAACAAGATGATATCTCATCATCCTTGCCTACCTTCAGCAAAAATCCTGTTAAGTCAACTTAGCCAGGAACCACCTTTTACCCTTGAAGTTTCTCTCAGTAATTTTCCATCCACTATTTGACCCCCTCCAACTGTGTTTCTGGGCTATGAATCACTTTTTCATGTGGTATTCAGAATTGAGCTAGATCTATACTGATGTCTCTTTTCTTTTATTGCAGTAGTTTTTGAGGTTTATTGGTTTTTTGTTTTTTGTTTTGTTTGTTTCCACTTAACTACTGTTCAGGTCAGATTTTTTTTGGCAGGTCCACAGAGAGCTTATATGTGTTGGAAGAAATAAAAAAATTCTGTCAACTAGAGATTCCAGGGCATTTGAGTTATGACTCAAAAGACAGTGGAATTTGGGATATGTATAATTAGTTCAATTCCAGATGCATTGTGTTTTAAATTCCTGAACATATTTTCCTACTCTTAACTTCTTGAATCATTTGTTAAATTCCTACTGTATGCCACACTTTCAGGTAGCCATCCCCTGAAGGAGAGAAATGGACCTCACTCTAGCCCAGTAGGTCCTGTGATGTCCTATGCAATTCTTTTTAATTTTGAAAAGAGAGGGACCAAAGGTCACAGGGCACTTTTACTTTATCATTTGTAGAGTATAAATGTCAGCAATGAGGGAAAAAAGTGTCTCTCTACGTTTGATAATGCCTCCTATCTGTCTTCCTTTAATGTGGATGTAGAGTACGTAATGAACTTCCATCAATAAAGCTCTATTTTTATGACAGTTCAGATTTACTGTTGTAGGCTCATATTACCAAAGATGATGTTAAGTATTAAAAAAGAAAAGAAAACTGTTCAGACTGTGGCACCATTTTCTCTAAGGAAGAAAATAGTTTAATCATTAACAATATTTATATTAATTAGCCTGTAATAGTCATCCTTTTAACCAATATTTTTATAAATATGAGTTTGAACTACTTAGTTTATATTGTTTTGTGCTCATAATTCATAGTGAAGAAATAGCATATGTCACTATTTTTTAAAATTGAATATTTTCTTATTTATTAAAATAATTCAGTTCAAAGTAAAATTGAAATTCTCAGTGCTAAGAAATATTTTTAAATAGTGTGGTTCAATTAAAATAAAAGGGTAAAAAGAACCAATGACAAATATTCATTTTGTTTTCATACCTAGTATGAAGAAACTCTTTCTTTTATTAGAGTAAGAATAAAATTTTAAGATATACTTTAATTAAAATATATAATTTTATATAAAACTATATTATATATTGTATATAAACATATTATTATATATTAACATATTATATATTAATATGTTTATTATATATTAACATAATATATAATAAAGTTACATCTGTCAAGCTTAACAGGCAGAAATTTAAATGCAAAAATATACCACATAGGTGATATTGTAAGAATGACACTTTAATCTGAAGTCAATTGTTAGACTATGATTTAAGCATAGTGTTATATGTATGTAATCCAAGATACAACTAGATTTGCATTGACACATGAGTTTTAGTCATATCAATATTTAGGTCATAATTCCCAGAAGATGACTGGTTAACATGAAAAATTCTCAAAAGTCTTTAGTGTTCTCCCAAGGGTTAGTAAACCTTTTCCTGAATGTGACATTTTGAACAAGAGTAAATTGTTCATTTCTGTGGACATTTTCTGTTGTGATAAAGATTTCCAAGTAAGTGGAGCCCTTCAATTGAGCAAGCATTCACTTTACTGGAGATACTTTCATATACTGTTGTGTACTTTGTGATTCCTAAAAGGTGTATGGTTATTCCAATGCTCACTCATATTTGGTGTTAACCTCACAGACCAACTTTTGTTTCAGAGGCAGATTTAAAATATACTTTTAATTTACTTTAACATCAAATTTATAGTGTAGTAATGAGCCACATACAAAAAGAATATGATGATACAGTTTCTAGCCTATATCATTTCCTTTTACTGTATTTATTTGTTTATTTTCCACTGGTAAGCTATAATAGTATCATCAAATAAACTCAAACAATAACCTAGATACAGACATTGTGTTCTCTAAATAAACCAAAGTCACCCTAATAAATCAATCAAAACTCCCAAGCTGTTTTTGTATGGAGCCACTAAAGCAAAGTTCTTTGTAGCAAACAAAATTGCCAGAGGCTTTTGGCTAATAACTGTTAAATACTTAATGACTCTTAAAAGCCTGAGTCTCCAGCTTTGGTTTATTCTTAAGTATTGAAAGCTTTGTCTGACCTTGAATCCACATCCTTAATAGCCTCAGAAATGATTGTTTTGTCCTCCTTCAGATAGCATTTTCAAAACATATAAATACATGATGTCACAATTAAGAATTTAAGAAATATAACCTCAGCATCTTACCACAAATGTTTTCTTTTAATAATAAAACCAAATCTATCTGCATGTGTCATCTTAGGTTTGAATGGTGACTTGATAATAGATAATGGGCACTTACCAAAATGCATAATCTTGTAAGAAGACCTCAAAAATAAAAATACTACAGAGTACTTTTCTTATTTTTTCAAAGAAAGAGTATGCTCATTAAATTATTTTTAAAGAATTTATATAATTATTTACTCATACCTAATTTCAATGATATAATTAAATAAATGTAATTTGGCAGTATTATATTGTTTTTAAGCTTAAGTGTCATTCTATACATTTACTCTTCAGTTAATTTTCAGTCACCTTTTCATTTTATAGAGAAAAATTACCATAAATACTCAATCTGCTTTCTGAGATGTGATTTTACATTTCATGCAGGATGAGCTGCAGGAGGTTTAAAGTGAAACACAAAATCCATTCCCACAGTATCTCACACAATCTGAATTAGAGACCTTTAACAAACCTCTCCTAGAAGATCCAGACATCTGTGGGATTGCTTCAAACATCTGTTCTAATAACAAAATTATTTTTTATTTTTGAAACAAGAAAATAAAAGCCTCATCATATGTATATTGGAAATTAAACCTAGTTGATTTGAAGGAGTCAGTCAATTAGTCAGTTGATTAGTCAATCAACTGCAAAGCCATAAGACAAGGTGTTTATTGGGGTTTTATGAATTTCATTTCAGGAAACAAACTCCACTAAAGACCAAATTATGTTCTGAAGAGAGGGATGAGAGTAGAGATTTTTAAAAGGACTCAGAGTGATCATACCAGTTGTTTTGAAGGAAATATCTTTGGTGTAGGCAACAGGCTTAGTACATGTTCATAGTTCATTGGTTGTCACTGTATAAGAGTTGCAGCACTGAAGAAATTCACCTGTTTTCCAGGGTGACGCGATCATGGCACTTTGGCCTTGTTCAAAGATTTAAGACAAGTTAATACAGTCATTCTTAGAATGGCTTCTGAACTCTATCTTAGAGCTGTGAACCAGGAAGACACCTCTTTGTATATTACATTACATTTCACAAAGGTTTAACATTTTACTATCAAGCTAAATATATATTCAAATACCATGGCTGTGATAAGTTAGTATACAGTTATTAAAATCTACAAAAGATACTGTATTATGAAAATACATATCACCTATTTTAAAAGTGAAGTTAAAAGAAGAAACTAATATTTACAATAGTTTAGGGTCTCTGGAACTCAACAAGCATGAGGTCAAATAATATTTATGTCAGATTTAAGGTGATTTTCCTTCTCATACTTCCACAAAGGGTTAGTTAACTATATCTTATAGTCTGAGTAAAATGTTGACATAAAATCTTGTCCCTTTCTCGTATGTTATAGATATAAATGGATTGGAAGATTATAAGTCATAAGATGGGATTGCTGTTGAAATAAAAATATTGCATGATTCGCCTGACTTCTAGATGAAACCAAGAAAAACTGCACATTATCCCTTGCATATTACAGTAAAACAAAATTGGAAATAGAACTAGAACCTGAAAAAAATAAGTACAAATTGGAGTAGATACAGTTAAAACTATAAAATTTATATTACATATATAATACTTGCAACTATAATCTATAAACATACGTGTTCATGGTTATATTCCACTTACTTAAATGCCTAGAGCAAAATATGTAATCTATTTATTATTGAACCACCTAAAACAGTTATAAAACTATCAATAAACTTTTGAATACTGGAATTTAATTAATTATATCAACATTTAATGCAGCGCCTGAGTATAGTGTATAGCTGAGAAAAGAATTAAAACTAATGTAATACCAGATTTCTGTTCTTAAAGAGCTCATAGTCTACAGAATAATTTAGATGTAGAAATTAAAATATGGATTTCTGGAAGAGTACTTAAATATAACAAAAACAGAAAACAAGAATAAATAATCAATAACGGAATTTTCTATAAACTTTTTGTGGAATGTTAAATAATCCAAAATATATCAATCTCACAATAGGTATTTTTTTAAATAGTGCCATTTTGAAATCAATAATTTCAAGCTAGTGTATATCCAGACCTACTCCATATCTCACTGAAACCCTGTCTAAAATATAAAACTAAAAGAACCAAAGGAAAAGCCCAAAAACACAAAGATATTCAAGAGAATAAAGCATTTCCAGCAGATAAAATCGCAGTTAATTTTTCAAAAACAAAGAGGATGAAGGTTGTTTACTGATAATTACATATTACATAAATATAAAATTTAATGTGGGTTGAGGGAATCTTTATTGAAAATGGAGAGATTCAACTGAAAATATAGGCAGCCTATTAATAATCCTTAATTAAAATACAGGATATCCCTTTGGCTAAAGAAAGAATTATTTTTAGGGGCAGGAAAGAATTATTCTGGGGAAAGTTAATTCTTTTAGTGTACGCATTAGTTCCACCAAATAAAAACTTTGCATTGAGGTTTTGGAGAAACCTCATCCTGACAATCCGTTGTCTGACAGCTCTTTCTAATGTGAAATTTGTCCTGACAAAAATACAAACTTCTTACAGTAACAGTTGTCACACTGAGATACCTAGCAGAGAAGGCCTACTTACAATATACCACAGGACAGCTCTCAGCTCTTTTGTTCTTATGCCTGTACTATGAAAAGACAATGACCAAAAACATATGAACAGATCAGTAATATGTTAAAAAAAAATACCAGTTTATAACAATATCAGAAAAAATGCAATATTCGAAAAAGACATAATAATTTGGCAAAGAAAAGAGAACTTTAAAAAACAACTTGAATAAATATACTCACAATAGTAAGACACCCTTAAAGTAAGAATTTTGTGCCATGAAGTGAGCAGAAAACTCTGTATAGTGCTCTTGGAGATTAAAAAGCAGGCAAGGAGGCAAAGTCTTCTTAAAGTTTTGGGGTAATGTTTGTAACCGAGCAGGATATACTCAGTAAAGTATCGAGAAAATATAACATGAAATCATTATCAAACATAAACATCCTTAAAATATTTTTCTCTTTTGTACCCTTCACTTAGAAATTTAGTTGAGATTATCTTCAGCAAAATGGGGAAGTAAATGAAAGAGTAGAAGTGTATAAGATCTAGAAAATGGCAGTGCTATACCAGAGAACATGAGGTTTTCAGGGATGGGAAGATAGGGTTATCAGGAGAGACAACTGATTTTTTAAATGAAACACTTGAAAGAATAATAAAACCTTAATATTTAATAAAAAATGAAAAATTTAGAGGAACAAATATTTTTTTAAAAAATTAACAATTCAAATATAAAGCTAATTAAAATGTGGCCTGATTATAAAAAACAAACAAGAAACTAAGAACATATAAAAAAGTGAGAGAAAAAGAATCAGTTTAGGCTTGATGCTACATAAACAAAAAATCTCCTTCAAGTGCCCTAGAGATCCAGACACATTACCTATAGAGAAAAAAATAAAATCCCAGAACTCTACTTGAAGTGAAAATAATTGCATAATCACAGCAAGATAAATGCCATTAATTTTTTTTTCAACATCTAGGATCAACCTAGGGAAAAAGTGCAGAAGACTTGGCAGTCAGAGAGAGCATGAATATTAATGACTTGGCAATAATAAAAGCAATAGTGTAGATATTGATAGAAGGCAGACCACAGATATTGAGTGAAGGTATTAGGAGAAAAGTTGGAAGTATGTGGAATCTAATAGCATCATCTCACATAAAGTTTTCTTGAAAGACTGAAATAAAAGTGTATTGTTAATAATTTATAATTGAAAAACAAAAAGTATACCAATGTCAGATATTAGGAGGTGTAGGGGGAGGGATAGTTCCAACTTCCATAGCATAAAATTTTTAGATACATCTTGGCACTGAAAATTAAAGCATATCTTGAAACTGCTTTTTCTTGATTACCATAAACTAATTTCCATGTTACTTTTTCCTCCTGGGTTAACTGAAATTACCCAAAACAATTACCACCCTTCAAAATCTGAGCTTTTCCCTTTCTTTGTCACTACCGTAAGTTCTTCATCTCAAATAATCATATAAATCTCAAATGCAAAAACGTATTCTTCACTGTTGATACACTGAGTCTGTGATGGCAACTGTTTCTTTTTTCAGATCTTCAAATGTAAGCTGAGATTCATTTTGAAATCACCATGAGGAATAGAAATCATTTAAATATTGATGGCCTCATTTGTCTCTGCTTTTAAACAGATTAAATAGCTCACAAAAGATTCAATAACAATACTTAGAATTTTAAAGTGTAATGTCAGGGTTCATTAGAAAATCCAGGATAACAGAAAATAGCTGAATTCAAATATACCTGAGATTTTCTTGCTATTTTGCTTTTGTTCTGAATAGTTATCTTATCTGGGCTGAAAAGACAGAAGGTATTGGACAGTCCAGTGAGAATTTGCTACCTAACATCATTGCTTTTCAAGAGCTCAAGATGTTAGTTTTTTTACTCATTGGAATTTTAAAATATTGTCTTTCAAAATATCTCTATTGGTTAAAAAATAAACATAGAAAAATAATATTTGTAGAAATTATGTGAGATAAAGCAAATGTAGATATGAAAATTTTCTTTGCCAAAATAATTACACATGGACATGCACACATCTCAAGATATTTCTAAAAGTCATAACGAACATTTTCAAATATGAACAGTTCAGCCTATACTAGAAGAGAAAGGGAATTGAAATATTCAGTGGATATTAAAACTAAAGTATTAAGAATATATTTAGTCAGAAGTTACTATTTTAAGTTTCAAAAACGATAGAATTGAAACCAGCCCAATTTTCTCATAGAGCTGATATTTACAAGTTTTTATAATAAACATCAAAATTGACCCTCTGTCTTTAAATTTGAAATTTATCTTTGTCTCATCTGAGTCCCTTCCTCTGGAACCCTCAGGCAAGGAACTAAAACTCAGACCACTACATCCAGACAACGAGATGCCAGACCTCTCATCTATGATAATTACTCCTTAGCCCTCCCTAATTTTTCTCAATTTCCCTCACTATATACACTCCACAGTTTTGATCTGTTGGGTAGACAGATTTGAGACTGATACCTTGTTCTCCTCAGCTATAGCACAGGAATAAATCCTTCTTCCCTGGTAATACTTGTTATCTCAGTGATTGACTTTTTGTGCTGTAAGCAACAGATCCTAGGCTGCACCCCTGCAGTTCTGTTGTACAGAACTGTACAACCAAAAGAGTGAACTCTAATGTAAACTTCGAATTTTACTAAATAGTAATGTATCACTATTTGTTCATCTTATAACAAATGTTCAACTTATAACAAATGTAACAAAGCAAGCTATAAATTACAGAGAAACGTGCAGGAAGGAAAGATAATATGGACACTTTTTTATTCAATTTTTCTGTAAACCAAAAACTTCCTGAAAAAAGCAAGTAATAAAAAAAACTTGATAAGTGATTTTCCAAAATGATCACATTATTACAGTCATCCCTCGGTATACAATGAGGATTGGCTCCAGGACATCCTCATGTAACAAAATCCACACATACTCAAGGGCAGTTGGCCTTGTGGAACTGGTTATAGGAAAAGTTGGCCTCTGTATTTGTGGGTTTTGCATCCTGGAAATACTATATTTTCCATGCATGTTTGCTTGAAAACAGTCCACTAAAAGCGTACCTGCACAATTCAGGCCTGTGTTGTTCAAGAGTCAACTGTACTTAGATTTGGCTTTATTCTATCTAATCAGTATTAACCCTGTGTCTTCTAAACCACTCACATTATTTTAAGCAAATGCCCTATATTTGATTTTGGGAACATAGAATCTAGACTACTTGAATGATTTCCCAAAGTTGAATAGCTTACAAGAAATAGAGGCAATCAAATCAAGTCTTAGTTGTTTTGTTTGACATAAGATTATGTTGTATTATTTACTATTAAAAGTAGTTTAAGGAAATACTGGCACTTGCCATACTCAAATTAAGTACAATCACAGACTCCAATGGAAAGGTGGAGCTACAAGAACATACAATAATTTCATAATAGAAATTCACTGGTTTCCTACCTGATTTTAATTAGACTTGTCCTGTTTTTCTTCCCTCCAACCTATGACTACATTTTACCATTAGATTTTTGTACCTAAGTCACAATCTTCATTCTTCAGTTGAACAATAGTTTCTTAGTTAGAATTCATCTCTTTTTTGCAAGCAGTGTGAACCTTCTTAAGCAGTTGTGCCAAAGGAAGAACTGAATATAAAAATGCCTATGTTCCTCTCACACTCCACAGTTTCCAGTATAGCCAAACCTCAGGAAGATACTGGAATTAGGAACTAGAAATTTCTTTCTCGTCATCTACTTTCTGCTTCTGTCTCTACAGACTTGCTTTTTCTGCCTTCCTAAATTCATAGAGGAATATGACTGTCTCATGACACATCAGGTTTTTCTTCTTTAAAACATCCCTAGTTCCCACGTAAAACACAAACTCAATCAGAAATTCTAATTAAAATTTGTCTGAAAGAATAATTTGGACAGGTCTAGCTTTAGGAAGGAATCTAACCCTAAATCTCTGAACCATAAGCAAGTTTGGGAGTGATGAGAGGGTTATAAAATATTAATATGGCTTATGGGGAGTCACCCTGGTAACTAAGGGGACAGTTTTCTTATTAATATTGATCTGGATTAATGTCTGCTATATATTGGTTATTTTACTAGGTAACAAATATATAATGATACATTAAACCCCCGTCTGGGTTGGGCGCAGTGGCTAAAGCCTGTAATCCCAGCACTTTGAGAGGTTGAGGTAGGTGGATCACCTGAGGTCAGAAGTTCGAGATCAACCTGACGAATATGATGAAACCCTGTCTCTACTAATAATACAAAACTTAGCCAGGTGTGGTGGCATGCGCCTGTAATCCCAGCTACTCGGGAGGCTGAGACAGGAGAATCGCCTGAACCTGGGAGGCAGAGATTGCAGTGAGCCGAGATTGTGCAACTGCACTCCATCCTGGGAAAAGAGCGAAACTCCGTCTCAAAACAAACAAGCAAACAAACCAACAAACCCCACTTCTGGATTTCACAGAATGCAACCTCTGAGTGGAGTAATAGGCACATATGTCACTAAACTACTGCATAATAAGATCATACATATATTGGATTCACTGCTGAAAAAGCTTTGATGGTTTCAAATTTTTTTAAAGTTTCAACTTCTCAGGATGGAATCAATGTATTCGAGTATCTAACTTACCTTTTTAATGTCTTTTCCAAACAGACACAATACAGTACACAGTGAATGTGTATCTATATTTTGCTAACTAAATTATATGTTCCTTTAGTGTTGATTTCATTCTAAATGACTTTTCAAGAGTAATTACTGTATTTTATAATTCTGTCATGACACTGAAATAAGCACATACTTAGGTACACTGTGTGCGTGTGTGTATGTGTGTGTGTATGTATAAAATGAACAGATGCACAGATAAATTTAGCCACTGTTTATATTATTTGGTAACTTAAACTTTTAGCGACAAATTTATATTGGTAAATACTGATTAATGGGTTTCACTTTCTGTTTCTGGCCTAGTCAGTCTTTTCAGCCTGTTTAAGAAAGTGATGGAAAAAAATCCCTTATGGTTAATTACTAAATGTTTATGTTAGTAAAAATACATAAAGACATAATCGACTGAAATGTCTGGAAATAATTTATTGCAGGGGACCCCTACCACCAGACCTGTCCGTGGACTGTTAGGAGCCAAGCGGCACAGCAGAGGTGAGCAGTGGGCTAGTGAGCATTACTGCCTGAGCTCCGACTCCTGTCAGATCAGCAGGCGCATTAGACTCTCATAGAAACGTGAAACCTATTGTGAACTGCACATGTCAGGCATCTAGGTTGTGTGCTCTTTAAGGAAATATAATGCCCCACACCTCATTTATGGAAAATTTTCCTCCACAAAACTGGTTCCTGGTGCCAAAAATGTTAGGAATTGCTGATTTATTGCCCTAAGATATCCAACAGGCTGGACGCAGTGTCTCAGGCCTGTAATCCCAGCACTTTGGGAGACCGAGGCAGGAGGATCACTTGAGGTCAGGAGTTCAAGACCAGCCTGGTCAACACGGTGAAAACCCGTCTCTACTAACAATACAAAAAAAAAATTAGCCGGGTGTAGTGGCACACGCCTGTAATACCAGCTACTCAGGAGGCTGAGGCAGGAGAATCTCTTGAAATCCAGGAGGCAGAGGCTGCAGTGAACCGAGATCGTGCCACTGCACTCCAGCCTAGGCGAGAAAGAGGGAGCGAGACTCCACTGGGGGTGCGAGAGGTGGTGGGGGGTGCGAAAAAAAAAAGATATCTAACAAAATGAATAAGACAGCTGATCAGTTGATGAGCAGAAAGTTAAACATATTTTTTACATAAAGTCTGGAACATTTGCCTAATAGGAATTTAATATTGCCAATGAGACATTATAGAATTGTTATTTTGTATAACTTTAGGAACACAATCAGTTTCTCTCTTTACCCTCTTTTTCTCACTCTCTCTTTCTCTTTCTTTCCTTCTCTTTCTCTCTTTAAATAATCCATACTGATTAAAATCGTTTAGTATATCAGGGCAATGCCTTTAAATATGATTCAATAGATACCCCTCTATTTACAATACATGTAAAATTGATATCTGTGTGTAGACAGAGTAGGAATGACAAAGTAATTACACAGGAATTGATTCATTTCTAATATTAATTTGAAAAAAGAAATTAATGAAACATGTTATATTGACCAATGCCATTTGTGAAAACCACGTTTTAACTTTCTATTTGTATTATGTAAATCTTTTCTTTGAAGAAAACTTTTATATGTTCAATTTTAATGATTTCTGCTAGATTTCTTGTAGTTGTGTTTGTTCTTATATCAAAAAATTGAAGATGTAATATGCTAATAGTATTGCATTGCTCTAATGTTGCATGTATGACTTGACAAACCATTTTATTTATAAATTATAAACTCATGAGTCAATTTATATTTGTCACTGATTAAATGGGCTCTTGAGTTCTGTTACTTTTTGATTAGGACATTAATTGCATCAAGCCGACATGGACTCTATCCAAGATAGTTAAAAATAAGGGAAGTTTAATGGTGCTGTGGCAAAAATATTGGAGGTTTTATTTTCCCTCTGGATAGGCAGAACCATTTAGTGGATTTTGTAAAATATTAAATGTGTATAGAAAATTCATCAATTACTGAAAATAATGTCATGTCAGTATATCATATTAATAACAGATCACATGTATTGGTCTTATTAAATTTCTATTTAGCTTTTTGTGAAAAAACAGAAATACTAATTATTTCCCCTCTTTATCCATTGAGAACATTATATACACTCTCATGCACACAACATCAGGTAGTAAACATGAAAGTCTGTGCTGTTTCACAGGAGGCTATAATTTACTTTCTTCTGGAATTTTGATTCACACTAGAAGTGAAATTCTACTATCAAGTACTAGTGTCACATGTTGGCCCTTAATATAAGTTCACTTTCAAAAATGAGTTTCACTACTGCTCAAATGCCTCATCTAGCAAAGAAAATATTAGGCAGAAACCAAATATTGCATGTTTTCACTCATAAGTGTGAGCTAAATGATAAAAACTCATGAACATGAAGAAGAGAACAATAGACTTTGGGGTCTGTTGGGGATGGAGTAGTGCCGAGTGGAGTGGAGGGCAGACGGTGGGAGAGGAGCAGAAAAGGTATCTACTGGGTGCTAGGCTTAATACTTGGGTTATGAAATAACCTGTATAACAAATGCTGGTGACACGAGTTCACCTATGTAACAAACCTTCACAGGTACCCCCAAACCTAAAAATTAAAAAAAAATAATAAATAAAACTAAGAAAAGAAAATATTAGATTAGAAAGATGATTAAACTTCAGTTCACTTAAGTTACAAATTTTCTCATTTTTTCATGTATGCATTCTAATTTCCATGTATTGGAAATCCTATTTTCTGCACCTCCAGAAATACTTAACAAGTGTTAATTCTGGTGCCACTTCTATTTATGGAAAAAGTAGTCTAAGAAGAAACATTAAAAAGGAAAATGTTAAAATGCTTAATGTAAAATGTATCCAGTGAAATCAATGCAAAAGTAGCAACACACACACACACACACACACACACACACACACCCCCTTTCCTTTCAAATTTCCCAAACAATTTCCTCATGAATGCTGTTATGCAGAGACTGTTCTTTATTTCTAAGAAGAGGTAAATTGGGCATTATTTTTACTGAAATTAATAGAAGAATTTCATGTACCCTTTCTCTGTAGCTGGAAAAAGTACTTACCTAGACTGATTTGCTTTTTGTCTCAGTAACATTTTTAGTTTGGGCATAGAATTATTTCTTAATGTTTTACACTATGATTATTTCAGAGCTCTTTCAGCTCCTATGTATGGTTTTCATAAAGCAAAATTGAAAAGTATGTATCTTTAGAAATAAAATAAACTCAATCCCTAGGCTATCATATTATCTCCACTGACATATTTATGGAATCAGAATTGAAGGTTAAATGTCTCTTGATATGAGGATTCAGTATCCCTATGCCTGCCACCAAAATAAGTACAATAATATGCGATAGAAAATAGTAATTCAGAATATTTTATTAATGCACCATTATTTCAAAAAGTCACCAAAGAGGGGAAAACCCCATATAAGTGGATCTCATGGAAATGAAAAAATGACTGTGAACTGATTGTGGCTGCTAGGGTCTTAATATTTGTATACTTCTAAAATTCGTATGTTGAAATCCTAACCCCCAAAGTAATAATAGTATGAATTTGGACTTTTGGGAGATGATTAGGCCATGAGGGCAGAGTCCTCATGAAAAGGATTAGTGTTCTTATAAACGAGATCCCAGGCAGCCTGTTTACCCCTTCGTGCATGTGAGATGACAGTGAGAAGACAGCTTGTCAATGCGGAAGCAGGCCCCCAACAGATACTGAATCTGCCAACACCTTGATCTTAGACTACCCAGTCTCCAGAACCGTGAAAAATAAATTGCTGTTGTTTATAAGCCTCCCAGTTTATGGTGTTTTCTTGTAAAAGCAGGGATGGACTAAGACAAAGACCTTCTTAAACTGGGGAAAAAATTGTTTTCTCAATCGCGAACTAGAAATTACAAAAGAAAATATTGCTTCTCTGTGTATTTCTCATTTGGTATAATTTTACAATTCACCCTCTGACCTGTGAAAATATCATTAAAATACCCACTAGAGTTTCTTGCACTGTCTAAACAGAGAAGGAAAACTTCCTTGTGAATACTGTGACGTTAGTTCTTTGTATAGCTGCAAAACTCATCAGCATGATAAACCTGGCAATGAAAATCAGAGAATTTTGGAGCTCACACATGCTGTTTCATTTAATACATTACAGTTACTTATGGTATAAACTTTGATTTAATGCAGCCTGGAGAAGCTTCATCACCTCATAAATGGTTAACAATTAGATATGCCCACAATACTCGCTCATAGATCTGAATAAAATGTTAACAGTTTCTGCCAGCCACATCATTAAAGTCAATTGTAGTTCATCACTTATGCCCATACCTGACAGAATTATTACACCGTCACTATTAACATATAGCAATTACTTGGTATATGCCTTTATGGAAGGTTATCAGTCAGTGAATTTTGATGTAATAAACACGCCTTATAGATCAACTTCAGCATCAAAATGAAGCTGTTTTGAGTAAAACAGAAATAACAGAAATATAATAATATATGTTCCCTTCTTCAGAGAATCCTTTATTGACAAAGTTAGAAAACTTGTCTTTACTGAAAATTCCACATATCATCTATTAAAGCACTTTTGAAATTGGTGCTTCTAAAATTGCAAGATGACTCACAAAATTAAAACCACGAAGTTAACTTGCTCAGTTGAGTCTTACCCTTAGAAAAGGAATAGATTCTGCTTCAAGTCCTGTGCTACTTCTACTACATTATGCCAACTCTGAGAATACAGCCAGTTCTTGGTATTGGAGTTGCACTTATAGCAATGTCTGCTTTGGATTAAATTCACTTCAATGACAAGTGACAGCAGTGTTCTTAGGCAATCTATTGTTGGGTGTGCAGAAGCAGAGAAGACAGAGTAAAAAGTGCTAGGACATGGTGAAGGACAAATAGGAGCAATGGAGCAAAGCTGTTTCACATTAGGAAACAGTAGCAGTAGAGAGAATCCTTGAAGTCTGGAAATATAGTATCAGTAGGATCATTTTTAAGCAAAAGTGTCATCAGTTTCTCTGTGAAATATAAAAGATATTCCTTGATTATAACTATTAATTTAGAAAAAAAGTATTATAAAAAGTAGAAGAGTTCAAATTATTGATATTTTTAGTCACATTGACATGTCTTACCACTTCAAAGTGATTGTAGACAGTAAAATCACATCATTAAAATAGAGAATTATATATCCTATGACAAAATAATACAAAATTAACTAAAATTAATATTTTTATAGACCTAATTCTAACTTCAAATATATCACCTAGACACAATTTTTGAAACTCTCAATCATGGGTGATCACAGGAAAGGTTTTCGTCCTATCCATTTTTTCCCCCATATATTTCTAGAGCCATATGCTGACTTGCTTTGGAATGCTGTTATCCTTGAATTGGTCTTTAAATTTCAAATAGACAGAATCTGCTCTTATCACTCAGATCTTCAAAGTTTATGTTTTACAAATACTTTATCATTTGTGTTTCTATGGTTTTTTTTTAATCCTTTATTGCCTAGTAAATGCTGATGCCTGACTATTGTCACTGCCTTGAGTTTCTGTGTCATCCAACTGTTTTCCTCCCAAGTGTGCTCTTCCAACTTGATAAAATTCCTAATATCCTTGTCCACTAGAACATCTTTTAGAATAAACTTAA
Source organism: Homo sapiens (assembly GCF_000001405.40). Taxonomy (NCBI): domain Eukaryota; kingdom Metazoa; phylum Chordata; class Mammalia; order Primates; family Hominidae; genus Homo; species Homo sapiens. Next base: position 164,366,275 of record NC_000003.12, read on the forward strand.
CCTCAAAATGTCCCCTTCCTCATTACAGTCATAACCTGTCAGGTTCTAATTTATCTCAGTTTATTATTTTATTCCAAATACATTTTATTTCAAGAACAATTTATCCCAAGCACACTTTAATAAGTCTACAAATGTCTCACATTCTACTTTCAAGTCACTTTCTTAGATTTTTTAAATAAATAGGTGTTATATAAACAATAAATTTAGAAATTCTTTCACTAGACAATTAAATCTTTGTCATTGGGCCAAGGTCTAAACTTTCGGCTTATTTTTATCTTCAGAAAAGATTCCCCATACCAGTAGACAAATCAGTGCCATACAGATTCCCCAATTGCTTAGTCAAGTTGGCTATTCAGTCCAATAGAAAACTGAATATGTCAAATTGTATATAGAGTTTGCAGTATTTATTGTAAAAACCTGAATCAATAGCTAATTATATGTAAATTTAGAGAAATGTTTATATGTAGTTGGAACCATTTATTGGTAATTGGATTATGAAATTTTATCAGAATTTGTAATCTGTATGATATGGAAATAATGCACGTTTTGGGTACCTTTCTAACATGTACACCTAGGTTTCAAAATCAAGTTGAATCAAATGTCATCACAGGGGCCCTTGAAAACACTTGTGGAATTCTTCCTATTGTATAAAACTTGAATAAATGTATATGAGGAAATTCATAATTCTTGCTTAGTAATAATCTGAAATTCTGTGAATTTGAGCTATAAAATTGTAAATATTGTGTCCCTTTAGTATTTATTATGCACTGGGAAAATTTGTGAGTACTTGATATGCATTTCCTTATTTAATTAATATATTATGCCTTGAGGTGAGTACCATGATTACTCCAATTTATTAATGAGGAAATTGAGACACAATAATATCATCACCATGCCCAAAAGCCACAGAAACAAAATGTGGAAGCGAAGGTTTTAATTCTCATGCTACTGCTCTTAATCATTGAGCAAAAAAAAGTTGAACATATATATATACACACACACACACTCACATATAATTTTGTTATAACATATATGTGTGTGTGTGTGTGTGTGTGTTTTTCATTATAGCATAGTGATTCCACACTCTGGGGCTAAACTGACAAGGTTTGAAATTGAATCACGTTACCACTTATAAACTGTCTGTAATGAGCCAAACTACCTAACCTCTCTGCTTAAGTTTTCTTATCTATAAAACAAATATAATAATAGCACTGAAGTCATATAATTATTGTGAAGAATAAATGAGCTAATATATGTAAAGTGCTTTAAAAGCTTTTGTATGCTCACCTGTATGTACATTTATAGATAAGAATGAGTTTAGAGTATGTTGAACTTTAATTAACATCTTCTGTTACTTCATTCCCCCCATAATTTTAAAGTTAGTCTTAAGTTTGCCTTCTCCTTAATGTCATGATTTAGGAAATATTCTTTGGTATGTCTATGAGAAAAAAAATCCCAATTTCTCTGACTTGGGTATTCTTGTTGGCAATGTGGAATAGTAGAAAATGTGTGTGGTCATTAAATTGCACTGGCCAGTAATCAAATCAAGTAGCATCTGTGGTTTGCTCAGACTAAATATCTTACCTTTGATGATTTATCATATTGATTTGCTTCTCATATAGCCTTTCAAAAGTGGAAATATGAGAGTCAGCATTGTGATTCAGGATCTTTTGTATTATCTTCTGTGTTATCATGATGCAATAAAATAAGTAGTAGAATTATGGTTTTTGTGACCTGAACAAACTTATAATAAGGACATTATAAATATAATATTATAAGGCTATTATAATAAGGGCAGGCCACACATTGATGCAAACAAAAAAATGTATAGTGATGGTTTTCAATATTGTCCACCTCCTCAAAATAGTGTCATGTGTTCCGGAAGTCCCCAAAATCAGCCTCAGGTTTAATGATTCATTAAAAGAACTCCAAAAACTCAAAAAACCATTAAACTCAAAATTGCATTTTATAAAAGTGAAATAATATAGATTAAAATCATCAAAGGAAAAAGACACATAAAGCAGGGTTCAGGAAAGACCAGGCATGGAATTTTATGTTGTTCTCTTCCTGTGGAGTATGTAGAGTGCCTACTTTTCTCAGCAGCCATGTTTGGCAAAAAACCACTGAGCATTACCAATCAGGGAAGATCATCTGGGCCTTGGAATCCAGGCTCCTCATTGGGAGTTGGTCACTGAGACATGGTTGACTATCCATATGTCTGACGTTATGTGAAGGAAGGAATTTAACCTTATAGGAGGTATTGTTATTTAGATAAACACTTGTAATTGCGTGATAGGAGTGCCTTTGCTATTTATGGTGGGATTTTTCACCCACATCTCATAGTTTATGCTAACAAGATGAGTCGGAGTTGGGGCTGGCCATGCCAGAAAGACCAACAGTACAGTTAGAGGTTTGGGGGTTTGGGTCACATGATATCAGGCTGATTTTAAGGGTTGGTGAGAGAGGCCAGTTAAATTGAGTTCAATCCCTTGAACAATGCATCAATCATATATAGATAATAAAGTATCAACACAATTTCAGGATACCGAAGCTCTCATGAGCTTCCTGAGTTGGCAATACTCCATGTATATTGCCACGCATTGATGCCAGAAAAATAATGCATCCCTGAGGACAATGGAAACTTTGCATTTGGAATTCTCCCAGACTTTGCCCCATGTGTCTCTTTCTTTGGTTGTTTCCAGTTTGTATCCTTTTCCTGTAGTAAATGTGACCACAAGTACAATAGTTTTAAGGGAATCATGTTAAGCCCAGCAAATTGTTGAACCTTAGGTAGTTTGGGAAAATCCCTGAACTTGCAGTTTGTGTCAGAAGTCTTGGGCAGACTTAGCAGTCTGGGGGATTGTGCCCTTCATTTTGACTAAACTCCTTTGTAACGTTATTCTCTAGCCCCTCCAAAAGTCAAGCTGACACCCTGAATTCAAAGCCCCCACCATAAATCACACTGTCAGCAGGGACTATCTGGCATGTCTACTCAGGTACCCCCTAGTATATGAAGACAATATTAGGAGGCAGAACATTTCATGGGCTCAGATGTTATCACCAAGGACCTTGAGGAAAAAATGTTCACACTTTTCTTTGGCCAAGGATAATCTTTTATTGTATATCCACCCACTAGCATTTGAAAATATAATTTCTTCTACCTTTTCCATGCTTATGAACCAAATAACAGTAAAAATTAGTATGTTGAAGCCTTAACCCAGAGTGTGACTATATTTAGACATAGGCCCATTAAAGAGGTAATTAATTTTAACTGAGATAATAAGGGCAGGGTTTTCAGTTCAGTAGGACTGATATGCTTAGAAGAAGAGGAAGAGTCACCAAGGATACACTCACTCGGAGAAGAGACCATGTGAGCGCACAGTGACAAGGTGGCCATCTGTGAAGCAAGGAGAAGGACCTCCGGAGAAACCAACTCTGCTGGCACCTTAATCTTGGACTTTCAGCCTGGAGATGTGACAGAAAATAAATTTCCATTGTTTAAGTCATCCAGTCTGTGGTATTTTATTATGGCAGCCACAGTAAACTACTACACCTATGAAAAACCACAAAGTGTTAAGATATTAAATATAAAATATCAATCAGCTTTATAAAAGATGTCAATTAAAGTAAATGTGTATCTCATGCCAAAAAAGAAAAACCAGGTGCAAACATTATTGTAATATATTCACACTAAAATAAATACAGTATTTCTACCCACTGACAACTCAGGATTTATTATGAGCAGCAAATGTATCCAGTCTTGCTATTGCCATCTTTTTAAAAGGTTCTTCTATTCTTTACCTCTGTTTAATGAAAATAAACTGGTTGTTATAAAATTCAAATACTCTGTATAGAAGATTAGTACATTTTTATTGTCTAATATATGCATTTTATTTTTATTTTTTGAGTTTTGATGTATCGAAATCAAAACAATCACATTTTTTTTCTATTTTAAAGAATTGCTAGCAAAAGGTACAAATTGCTGTACTTTTCTCCTTGATTTTTTTTTGAATTGAGATTAGTCATGTTTTCTGCACACAGTACTACCTATATAAACAGGCTTTGCTTTAGGTTTAGAATTTGACTTAAACAGTGAAAATCAGTATTTTCTCTTCCCTCAAATGGCTGTGCTTCCTTTACTTTGAAATTTTATAGAATGATGAATCAAATTTGTTCTTAAGAGTTGGGTAGAAAAATCAACAACATTTAATGATAAAGAGATGTTAAAATGCTCACATGTATTCTGCACTTGTTACATGGAAGCCATTGTCGTGGGTCTTTAATATGTGCTACCTCATTTTAACTTCATAGTTAATTTTGTTCTTTGTGAACTTTACAGTTGCAAAGTTATAAGAGGAGGGAGTTCAAAATAGAAGTAAAAACAAGTAGAATCATTTCTCATGTGAGTATTTTCCATTTTGTTTTTCTTAAAAGAGTCCAATAATAAATGTTCTTTTACTACATCAAAGAATTTCAGATTGTTGAGATCAAGTAAGCATATCTGTAAAATGTTTCTTATTATTGGCTATTCTAATATCAGAAAATCCTATATAGATATTGTGATTGTTATTTTTCTTCAATGTGTCTTATTTGCAAGAGATAATACTGAGATTTTAGGCAATACTGCAGTGTTTAAACTAGCTGTATATCTTTTTGTGTATTTGTAAATCAAGTAGAAACTGTTCCTACATGTGTTGTGCTTTAATTAAACCAGCTGTGAACTTATCACAGGGTTGTATATAGCACCTTGCCAATACATAAAAAATTAACTGAACACATATGGGTGATTTCTTTATGCTGGTTGTCCTGAAAGTCAATGAGTGCAGCCACAAGGTCATGTTGACAGCAATCATCAGTATCCCTGTCAAGACAGCTGCGCCAAAAAATCAACTTTAGGTCAGGCACAGAGGCTCACGCCTGTAATCCCAGCACTTCAAGAGGCTGAGGTGGGAGGATCTCTTGAGCCCAGGAGTCCGAGACCGACCTGGGCAACACAGGGCAATCCTGTCTCTTCAAAAAAATAAAAATAAATTAGCCGAGCATGCACCTGTGGTACCAGCTACTCAGAAGGCTAAGGTGGGAGGATCACTTGATCCAAGGAGGTTGAGGCTGCAGTGAATCATGTTCACTCCACTGCACACCAACCTGGATGACAGAGCGGTAACCTGTCTCAAAATAAAAATAAAATAAAATAAAATAAAACAAATAAACTTTATTTCTCCCCATATTACAGAGGCAGGACAGGAGTGTCCTAGAAGCTCAAAAGTAAATGTACCTCTTTGGAAACCTAAATTATATACTCTGTGAATTAACAGTATGCCACTCCACTGCACACCAACCTAGATGACAGAGCGGTACCCCATCTCAAAATAAAATAAAATAAAATAAATACATAAAAATAAACTTTATTTCTCCCCATATTACAGAGGCAGGACAGTAGTGTCCTAGAGGCTCGAAAGTAAATGCAGCACTTTGGAAGCCTAAATTATATACTCTGTGAATTAACGGTATGTTAAAACTATGTTAAATTCTGCTTTGCTATTTTGTTGTGTGATAAAAAGACTTCTAAATTGGAAGTCAGGAAGGATGGACCTCAGCCATGAGCTGCCCTGGCAGGCTGTGCTTATCACAACAGTTGGTATTGCCCTTACTGCAACAAATGGGGAAGTAGATTTGACTGCACATTTTAACAAAAATCTTGAGAATACCAGGAAAACAACTAGCATGAAGGGAAGGCTGGGCAGAATAGATTTCTCATCTTCTTCTCTAGTTTGCCTCTAGAACAAAAAGCATCTGGAACACAAAGGGCAAACAATAAATATGTGTAGAATAAATGAAGGCTTTCCAAAGCAAATAGATAAAAGATTCAAAGTATACTTCTGTCTCCTATATGCTGTGTGACCTTGGAAAAAGGTCTCAGCTTTCTAAACATCAGTTTCCTAATCTATGACATATTCCTCATAGGGATAAACTGAAAAGTAAAGACTGGAATAGAGTTATAGGTACATAGATATAAATTTGAGGGTAGGTAGCACAGTATAAGCATTCAATATATAACTGTATAACAATAATGGTGGCAGTTATGCTTCTGCGACTCCTTAAATTGAATGTGATCATTAACTTTTACCCATCAATATAAAAATGGAGCAGTTTTTCAACTACTCATGAAAAATTATCCCTGCATCCTAAGATGATTTAATTTTTCATGGAACATAGAATTCTACGAATCACTTCATACTTAGTTTTCTTAGTCAAAAGTCAAAACCGTAATTTCGTTTTCACATTTAATTCTCTCTGGATGCTAAATCTTTACCTAGGCTGTGAGGGAAGGTTTCAGAGAATATAAGATTCAGTGAAGAAAAAATATTACATATTTCTACTGAGAATTTTCCTTAATGAATTGTAAGCTATTGACCTTTCAAAATAGAGAAATTTCTGTGATTTTAAAATTCTTTTGTGTAAAATTTTATTTTTCTTCTTTCTTAAAAAATACATAAAGTAGGCTGGGCACAGTGGCTCACACCTGTAATCCCAAAACTTTGGGAGGCCGAGGTGGGTGGATCATAAGGTCAAGAGATCGAGACCTTCCTGGCTAACATGGTGAAACCCCGTCTCTACTAAAAATACAAAAAATTAGCCTGGTGTGGCAGCACACGCCTGTAATCCCAGCTACTCGGGAGGCTGAGGCCCGAGAATCTCTTGAACCTGGGAGGCAGAGGTTGCAGTGAGCTGAGATTGCACCACTGAACTCCAGCCTGGGCGACAGAGCGAAACTCCGTCTCAAAAACAAAAAACAAACAAACAAAAAAATATAGTATTCTTATTATCTTTGGAATGTTAATAATTGTTAAGTACACTTATATGTCAAATATTAATAATGTAATAAAACACAAAAATCTTTTATCTATATTGCTAAGTTTTGTCCTAATAGCTATCACTGAGGTACACATTCTTTTCTGAAATCCTCCACTCCCTACCACTCTAAAATTTCTACTTATTTATTACAACTTTTTATATTTTTAATAAATTATTATAAACTTTCTTCTGTAGATCTATCAACCAGGATAGTTCCTTTGCAAATTGTCCAAAATACTGTCTCCTTATCTTTTTTTTTACTTCTAAATATATTATGAGTAAATACTCTTGGCTAGGCACAGTGGCTCACACCTGTAATCCCAGCACTTCGGGAGGCTGGGGCAGGAGGATCACGTAATATCAGGAGTTCAAGACCAGCCTGGCCAACATGGTGAAACCCCATTTCTACTAAAAATACAAAAACAAAAAAATTGGCCACCATGGTGGCAGGTGCCTTTAATCCCAGCTACTTGGGGGCTGAGGCAGGAGAACCGCTTGAACCCAGGAGGTGGAGGTTGCAGTGAGCCGAGACCGTGCCATTGCACTGCAGCCCAACAACAAGAGTGAAACTCCGTCTCAAAAATAAAATAAAATAAAATACTTTCAAAGTATTTTAGTACTTCTCTTAACAACTTTCACATAAAACACATTATTTTTTGCAGTTTTAAAAATGCAACCACAAAATAAATATTATTTTTCTTCAAAAAAGTTTCGTAATAAAGTGTTATATTATTTAGAATATTATGTTTAATTTGGGTAACATAAAATATAAAGTAACTAATTGAAAGACTTAATGGTTTAATCACTAATGGAGAATAATGTTCATCATTAATATTTGGGTTCAACAAAATAACTTGTGTTCTTGGGGTTAGATGGTTTTCAGAAAGGCTTTTAACAATAAAATGCGTTTTGTTTTTCAGTTAGCAGAAACCTAGAACTAATCAGTAAAATTAAAGTAAAACTTACTAACATATTCTATTTGGAAAGTATTTTTGGCTTCATATATAATATAGTGACTAAGTATTTGTGCAATATTGTCAATAGACAGGTACTTTATTATTATCTAAAAATTGTGAATGAACATCAGATGCCTTGCCTAAGATGACACAGTTTGTGTTCTACAGTTTGTCTCAAAACCTAGACTATCAGACAACCAATCTCTTTGTTCTTTTTACTCTGACAAATTATATTGAAGCCAAAATAAATGAACATAGAATTTAGCTGATTAGTTGGTTTTGACAAACAAATAAGATAGGCTTTTTATGAGAATATAAAAATAGGCAATGTTCTCACTATGAACTAATCAATATTAACTGACAGTAATAATAATATTGATGATGCATTCTGTAACTGTTCTCATAAATTATAACCATTTGGTTATTTATTATTTATTAGTTTTAAGCATATTTAATTGTAAAATATTGATGCAAAATAAATAAGTACTATATTGGAGGAACGACTGAAATGAAGTTCTAGCTTCGTTATTTCAGAAACTTATTTTTTTTGCCAAGGAATTTCTATTCAATATTTGCAGTAATTTTATATGACTATTTTTTACAGTTCTAGAGGTAATTGGGTGCATTACAGATTGTCTCAATTATCAAGAGCTGTATTCAAAAGTAAACTTTTTTTTGACTGTGTATGTGATCACAATTTTTACAAATTTAAACTCATGGTTTTCAAATGGATATTCAGTGGCAACCATCACAAAGTTTGTTTTTGACAGATTTTTAAAAATAATTTAGACAAATAAATGGACTAGTTTATAGCTCTTATTAGTGGATTCTTATTGGTAAAAACCACACTCACAGAATAAGTAATGGTAATGTATAGTGCTTCCTCACTGTTCTACAGTTCTTTGATGTCTATTTTCCATGAGTTAAATGTTATAGATTCACTTGTTTATATACTGATTTTTTAGGGAAGAAAAATGGGGGGAGGGGATGTAGCATTAGGATAATAAAAATGACAGCTCAGAGGTAAAAATAAACCCCCTTTTTAAAAATAATAACCATAAGCAGGAGTGATAGAGGAACATCTCAAAATAGACAAGGAGTAGAATTGTAGGGAAGAAATTATGAAGTATGAAGGAGGTTTTGGACTATGTGCTCATCCATTGAAAGAAAGAGGGAAAAATAATCCAGTAAATGGAATTATATAACACTTACAAAAATATAAGTACACACATTGATTCACATGTGGACTAAGAATCTCTTCCACTGAGAGTATACAGTGACCAAAACACTACACATGGGCCATTTTGATATTTAATAGAGGTTCAACTTCAGCTTCGGGGTAATTTAATAGAATGTTCCCAATAAATTCTATTCTCAGAAATTTTTAATGTGCAATTTGAGAGTTTCTCAAAGTGTGGTGCATAAGAATTTTCTAGAGTACTTTTAAAGTGCTAATTTCTGAATCCCACTTCAAATCTATTGAATCAAATTTTCTAGGAGTGACAACTGGGAATTTATTTATATAAAATAGTTTGCAAGCAATTCTTAGGCCCAGGAGAGTTTGGGGCCTCAGTATTTAAAAAGTTGCTCAGGCATCTAAGATGATTTCATCATCTTTTGCCCTGAGCTTCAAATTTGTTTCATCAAGCACTGTTTGGCAGGGCAAATTTTGCATCTTGGAGAAAGTTGGTTGAGGAACTTGCATAATCATTTGAACAAATGTAAATTTAGTCTGATTCACTTTTAAAAAATTTATTTCTCTTTATCTCTTTTCTAAAAACTTATTTAAATTGTTTCACGATACCTATTCATTGTTCTATTTAATGTTAACCTGGATTAAAGAAAGATACTGTTAAGCTTATTATTGCATCCTATTGAAATTAAAAAAAAAATGTATGTCTGAATGTTTTTATGTTACACCACTGAAATCTAACAGATCTCTGGTACACTTTTAGAATGAACTTTACTCCTGTGAGTACATGACTAAAGGTAATTTTGCCTATCAGGGATTCTTTGCCAATATCTGGAGACAGTTTTGTTGTCATAAATGAGGCATGAGGAGAGAGGTGAACTATTGGCATTGAGTGGGTGGAGGTCAAAGAAGCTTTTAAACATTCTACAGTGCACAGATGGCGCTCTACAACAAGGGATTATCCAGTCCAGAATATCAATAATGCTGCTATGGAGAAACCCTGGTTTACTCATATTCTATAATAATAATAATAATAAAATCTACCTCATAAAATTTGAGTTAGTGCTTATAAAAATACATACTATACAGAAAGTCTTATCATGGGTGTTTATAATCATCATTGTCAGCACAAAAACCCACGGGGTTTTGGGAACTTCCCCTGGGGCCCTTGTTTGATAAGTACATTTATAGGCATAAAAATAAGTGGAACTAGGCCGGGCACGGTAGCTCATGCCTGTAATCGCAGCACTTTGGGAGGCCAAGGCAGGTGGATCATCTTAGGTCAGGAGTTCGAGACCAGCCTGGCCAACATGGTGAAACCCCATCTCTACAAAAATACAAAAATTAGCCAGGCTTGGTGGCAGGCACTTATAATCCCAGCTACTTGGGAGGCTGAGGCAGGAGAATTACTTGAACCTGGGAAGCGGAGGTTGCAGTGAGCTGAGATCGCGCCGTTGCACTCCAGCCTGGGGACAGAGTGAGACTCCAGCTCAAAAATAAATAAATAAATAAATAAAACAAAAAATAAGTGGAACTATTATTATCACGTTTTTAATGAGAAAAGTGAAACGAGATGTGTTTTGACTTGGCCAAGGTCAAAAAGCAATTTTATGTTAGAGCCAAAATTGACATTTTTGTTTTTATTTGTTAAAACAACATGTTTATTTAAACGTTATAAATGTTGCAATAACCTGAAACTTATTCATATAATAATTAGGCCACTGTACTAGGGGTAATGGCATTTGTTTTGTGAAGTCAGAATTTATTTTATATCATTTCCCTATATATTTTCAATATTACAACTTAATTCTTATTTTTTCTTTGAGATGGGGTTTCACTCTTGTTGCCCACGCTGGAGTGCAATGGTGCTATCTTGGCTCACTGCAATCTCCGCCTCCCAGGTTCAAACGATTCTCCTGCCTCAGCCTCCCAAGTAGTTATGATTACAGGTGTCCACCACCACACCTGGCTAATTTTTTGTATTTTTAGTAGTGATGGGGTTTCACCATATTGGCCAGGATGGTCTCAAACTCTTGATCTCAGGTGATCCACCCGCCTCGGCCTCCCAAAGTGCTGGAATTACAACTTATATTTTTAGTAAAGAACTAAATTACTTTTAGGTTTTAACCACTGGAATTAGCTCAAAATGTTCTTTTTACTTTTTTTAAAAAAATGATGGAAGTAAAGCCAGTTATTATACACAAGACTATATAAGTAGACCACACCTAAGTAAGTATAAACTTACTTCCCAAACCAATTTCTCATTTTAGAATGTGTTTGATGTTACAGAAGAGTGTGGGTAGCGTAGGAATACTACCCACATTTTTCTCTAACACATAAACTCAGTCTTTGAGAAACACATGAGTCACTCTGAATACATTTATTTGTTTAATTTTAGAATTTTGTAAATTTTGAAATCTCAATGCTTCCTCCTTCAATGCTCAGTGCTTTGTCTTATAAGCAAAACAAGGGTTTGAACGATCACTTTCTCAACAGATGCAGCTCTAAAGTATAGTGAGAGAGGTTACTCTAAATAAGGATTAGAGGCTGTAGCAACCATCTGTTAAAAACATTCTTCACTTTTATATTTATAACTCCCATGAATGTGTCTGTAATATTGAAGAATTTGAAGGAATTAGCTATTTACAGACAAAAGAATTTTACCTCCTTAAAAAATAGAATCATAACTATGCTATAACTTTAAAAGCATCATTTAAAAAAGTCAAATTTTATTATAAAATACAATAAAATTACATTAAACTTTGACTTCAGTATCTCTGGATCTTTAGTTACTTGTATCTTCAACTTCTTGGAAAAATGAAGCCAACGGAGTAGGAAAGATGTGTGTTAAAATAATAAATAATAAATAAATTCTCTTTAAAAAATAAGTATAATGACAGCCACTTATTTTTATTAAAATGTTATCATTAAAATATTCTCCAAAATTAAAATAGAATGCTCGAGAACTTTTCCTTAACTCAAAATGTTGTACATGACATATATTATGTGCAGTGTTGAAAAAGCAGAATACATCAGATTGAAGAAAATTAGACCAAAAATTGATTATTTTTTGAAATAAAATCTATAAGTTTGAAACTTTATAAGATTTCTAAAGCCAAGCTAAACTTTGCACATAATATTTTTTGACGTTTCCCTTGAGGTAAAGACTATTACAGATTTGTGAGTGTTACTTTTACATCTACAGAGAAGGTCACATTGGAAACGTTCGTAAAAATCTCAAGACAATAAGCAAGTTGCTATGTATAATTCATTTTTACCTCCTCTATTCTTGAGCTTTATTATAGGTCTTAAGTGTTTCAAGTAATATTGTATAAAATGATCAAATGAGTATTCAGTAATGGAAAAGTAACTGCATTTGTGTTCCAAGATTTTTAAGACAAAAGAAATATCAACTATTAATACAGTTGGCATCATAATCTCAGATATAATGTCTAGAATAGAAGTTATTGCCTGGAGGAAAAAAAAACACAAAACTTTTGGCTAAGGAGCTAATTCTGCATGAAAACTATCATTCTAAAACTAATGTTAAACAATATATTTTTTTATTTTTTAAAAAGTTGTCCACTAATGTAAAATAAACTCACACTGCATAGTCAATCAAAAATTTAGAAATATAAAATTAATACACTAGTATTGGAAGATGGCTAGAATCACAAACTGATAAAAGTGTAATCTTGAAAATAAACTACTTTGTCCCTGTATATCAAAGTATCTAATTGCCACTGGCAAAATTACTAGGAAGAAACTTAAAGTCTCCTTTTTACAAGAAGTTACTTTCTAGAACTGTTATATATATATATATACACACACACACACATATATACACACACACATATATATACACACACAATATATATATACATAATACATATATTGTGTATATATATGAATATATATATGTGTATTCGGTAATGGAAGAAGTAACTATTTTCAGGCAAAAGAATTCTACCTAAACTTTTTTTTTAGAACTCTAAATATACATATATATATGTTTTGGCAGAAACATTCAAACACCTGCATTTACTTTAATAATCTGTATTTAAAACATCTCTGTTCCAGGCCGGGCGCCGTGGCTGATGCCTGTAATCCCACCACTTTGGGAGGCCAAAGCGGGCGGATCACGAGGTCAGGAGATTGAGACCATCCTGGCTAACACGGTGAAATCCCGTCTCTACTAAAAATACAAAAAAATTAGCCGGGCCTGGTGGCGGGTGCCTGTAGTCCCAGCTACCCGGAAGGCTGAGGCAGGAGAATGGCGTAAACCCGAGAACCCGGGAGGTGGAGCTTGCAGTGAGCCGAGATCGCACCACTGCACTCCAGCCTGGGTGACAGAGCGAGACTCCGTCTCAAAAAAAAAAAAAAAAAAAAAAAAAAAAAGAAAAAGAAAAGAAACAGACAAACAAAATGTCTGTTCTAGTAAATTGCTCATTAATGTAGGTAAGTACACCTATACAAGGCTATGAACAAAAATATTTAAATTTAAAATTTGTGAGGATGGATGTACTACATTTTTCAAAAAGTAAAGATTTCCAGAAATACTGACCCCGTTGGAAACTACCCATCTAGTGTGCAGTAGCAATCACAAAGAATAAATCATTGGTTACATTGCTCTATTTTTTTCTAAGGTATTACAAAGCAAAAAATCTTCCACATGTCCATAGAGTATCTGGTTCAAATATATTTGCCAAATATTTTTATATTACAATTTTCCTTTTGCTATTCATTTACTTGAAGTTAATAGAAGCTGTTAGAAAGCAGAGTTGCTTTTGTTGGTGTTGGGGCTGAGGGAAAGCCTCCTCTTTCCCTCTGAAGTTTTGCTAAAAATCACCAAAAAGCAGATTAATAGGAGAAAAAACCTACAAATTTATTTAATGTGCACAGAGGAACCTTTAGAATCAGGACAGAAAGATACAGGGAAAATTGTTCATTTCTATGCTTAGTTTCAACAAAGTATGGACAGTCGTGTAGAAATGTGGATGGGCAATAAGGATATGATCTAATGCTAATAGGCTTGAGTGTTGAAACCCAGCAGGACCTGTCCTTCCAGATTCTCCTTGGCCTCTCTGTGCAGCATCCTTCCCTTCTGGGTATGGGGCAGGACGCTTTCTGGAATAAGGGCTTTATGACCTACAGTGATAACGGTAGGTCATATAGTTTCTTTATGGCCAGTTTTTACACAGGAATGCAGAAGGAAAGTTAAAGTAATATTTTTAGATTTTACAGTGGGTTTTGTGAAAAAGGGGTTCTGGTTTCTGACTAGCTGTGGAAAAAGGGATTCTAGTTTCTATGGCTAGCCTGGGGGAAGAATGGGATTGAGAGTTAGGAGATCGGGAGAAGGTTAGAGAAAAGCTTTTGCTTCTGAGGCTGCTTCTAAGGCTTTCATTATGGGGTACTGTTTTCTGAATTCCAACATTGGAAAATCCATTAGTACTATAAAAATGTGGTAACCAATGTTCTCTAGACTCTAAGTAAATTGTGAAAACTGACGGAAGCAATGTGTATGCTTAAAGGTAATGGCTAAATGAAACAGTATGTTTAAGTTTAATCACTTTACTTCTATCATTGATTTCCTTTACTTCCCTTTTCTAGTATGCCATACTCAATAACTTTTTGATCACATACCAATCAGAAATCAAGCATAGGCCTTAGAGCAGGAAGAAAAATGTTCTTACCAGTTTTGATTGGTCTCAATATTCTTGATTCCTTCTTGCTAATAGCCTTTTGGAACAACTTGATTTGCTTATTTAATCATATTTTCCTTGCAAGTTATATTTTCCCTGATCATAGCTCACCCAGATGTGAAGTTATTATTTGGCATTTTAATGTAGGCAAGGTAAGTATCAGCTCTAAAGAAGACAGTATGGAGCTTTAACCATAATATGCATCCACGTGTTTGCCTGGCAGATTCTTAGTCTAGGCAATGCCTACTGTTGGTGAAAACAAATTATGACCCTAGTGTTTATAGAGCTTGTAATAAAACACGGAGAAGAGGAATGGTTCAGCTATGATAGTTATATAAAAGTAAGGGCTAAATTATGTAGCATTCAATATAAACACACTCTAAGCCCATAAAATCATCTGTTAATACTAGCTGGAGTGGTATCCTAAAGCATTAAAGTGAAATAGAAAAATTTAGAGACACAATGGCTGGATTGAAATTCCAGCTCTGCCACATGCTACATTGGTGACCTTTGCCAAGTTTCTTAACCTCCTATGCCTTGTGTTTCTCATCTGTAAAATAGGAATAATATTATACTCAGCTCATGAGACCATTGAAACGATTAAATGAGATGATACATTTAAAGCAGTTAGCACTCGAAAATTTCTCAGCATAATGGAAGAACAATATGAGTGATAAAGGTTCAGTGAGAATTGGCCTGGCTTGTGTGATATTTCAGGATTGAGTTGACCTGAGTTTTAAGGACTGATAAGTAATTATTAGAGACAAATGAATTTCATCCTTATAGATGGTGTTCAAAGTTTTCCCTGCCAGATAAATTGTCAGAAACTTGTAAAACAAGGCCATAAAAGAGGGGTGGTATATCATACAAGGGGACAGGCACCTCAAGGATTTGGGGTCACACTGTGCCAGTAAAATAGCAGTTAACCACATGTGGCTATTATGTACTTTATGACTTGTCCTAATAAAGAGATCCTACTTAAAACATATACTAGGTTCGTAAGACTTAGTGTAAAAAAAGTATATATATCTTTTTAATTTTTTATGTTAATTAAATGGTGAAATGACAATATTTTGGATGCATTAGTTTACAAAAAAATACTATTAAACTTAATTTTATCTTTTTAAAATGTGTTTACTAAAAAACAAAATTATGTGTACAGCTTGCAATATAGTTTTATTTCTCTGTGCTAGTCTAGGGCAATGTATTTCGCTTATGCCATTAATCACTATTCATTAAAGTTCTTAGACATTTGGAAGTTCCTAGCTAGCTTCTGGATATTCAACTAACAGAGATACAAGTAATTTCTGTACAGTGGAAGAGATAACTGTAAAGATACATGACCTTGTAGACATCAAACTGTTTCAGAAAAATATATCTTAACATGACTTTGTTAAATTGTCTGTATATGTTAGTTTCGGTCATGCTCTTTGCACCATCATGAGATCTTACTGATTCCCTCATTAATTAATGAGTTAAGTAAAACTTTTGGCATGTGTTCACTTTCCGTTTGCTTGAGAGTCATACATTTCTTTGAAAATCATGCTTTATAAGTAAAACACTGAATTTGCTATAGTTGGTAATAAAAAGCCCTTTGACTATGCACATTACGGGAGAGTAATCAACAGAAGATTTTCATTATTAACTCGGTTTTGGATATGCTACATGAATTTTGTAGGCTCCCAAATTTATCTGTAAATTGCATTAATAACAATTCAAAAGTGTGACATTTAAATATGATAATGTACTTTAATGTCCACTACGGTATTTGAAATATAACAATTATTCAATAAATGACAATTTTTATTGTTATTTTTAATGAATGATTTATTTTTAAGTAGAATATTCTATAAAGTTTATTTACATTACATACATAGAGTAGTTATGAGAACAGAAAAAGAAATATTGGGAAAAGCACCTTGGAAAACATAGGATGCAGAAGATCTAGAAAATTGGTGACTGGAGTAAAAAGAAAAATGGGGGAATGAATTCATTAGACAGAATAGTAAGATTTAATGACATATTAAAAAGAAGGACTGTTAAAGGAAGAACAAACATAAAGAATGGCAATGCCATTTATAGAACCATATAATTGTGAAGTGGAAGGCGGTTTGCTGAGAAGTGTTTCTATGTTTTTCTCATGTTGTCTTTGAAATATAGGGAAACTTCTGTGGTTTGAATGTTTGTCCCGTCCAAGACTCATTTAGAAAATTAATTATCAAAGTAACAGTATTAAGAAGTGTGACTTTTAAGAAGTAATTAGGCTAGGGGGACTCTATTCACATGGGTGGGATTTGTGCCACTGGAAAAGAACAAGCTTGGCCCTCTTTCACCCTCTCTGCCATGGAATGATGCAGCAAGAAGGCCTTTGCCAGATGCTGGCCCCTGGATCTTAGACTTTCAGACTATGAGATCTTAGAGTTTCCGACTGTGAGAAATAAATTTCTACTCATTATAAATTACCCAGTCTCAGGTATTCTGCTTTAGCTGCCCAAAGCAAAGTAAGAATTCAGAATGATGATTTCTAAAGTCTTCTAGAAATTCCTGTAAACATACAAGTGAAAATTTAGAGTAGTTGGGTTTCTTCAGAGATCATTCACAATGGCTTTGACAGTTAAAGCTATGAATGTATGATCTCAGAAGTGAGTAGAGGAAGATAGAATAGGGTCTTATAAATCAGAATGAAGAGGAATAGAAGACAGAGATGGTTAAAGTACACAAATATTGGGAGAAAAACTAAGTGCAATATCAACTTGTCTGGAGTTTTACCTGATATTCTCTATTAAAATAATTTTATTAATTTCTATTTGCTGTTATTTCCAGAATCTGATGTATATAATATGCATGTTTTATAATGAATGCAATCTTCCTTATATAACAATAACTACAGCTGACCTATAAATTTGAAACCATCATCTCATTAGGCATGCTAGCTTCTGAAATCAGGAATTATCTATTAACCAATAACAGAAGCATTAAAATTCATTTTAACAAAATTTTACATTTGAAAAACTAGGTAAAAATTGCCTGTATGCCTGTGCTTGAAGATCTTAGTCTTTCTTAAATAATGGATTTTATCTTTAATTCTATATAATTAGAAAACAAAACATATTTAGATAAAACATTTATGTCAAATCATCAAGTTACTTCTACCAGTTCATTAGCTTAATATTCATAGCACATTAATATTTTCATATAGAAACTTAAACAAATAGAAACTCTGTTCTATAAAACTGAAGGGTAAGCATCTAAGCCATTTGTTCTCAAATTCAGCCATTGCTGTTATTACTGCAGAGTAATAAGAACTTAATTTTTATTGAAATAGGAGAAAATTTTAAAATGCTGACATTAATGAAATATAAATATTTAATGAGATTATCTTCCCTGCATGACTGGCTTTATTTTCAATTGTTTATCTTCATTATAATTCAAAAAATTAATTCTCCTTTTATTCAGGATAATGTGTATTTACAACTATAGGTCATATGCCAGAAATTTTGGCTGTTGTCCCTGAAATTTAATTAGAGGTTCAGAAGCCTCCTCAATAAGAAATTAACCTAACCCACTCTATTTTGAATTCTCTCAGAGAATACATGACAATGACGACTGGTATATATCCTGGATAAACATAATTTATGAAAATTGTTGTTGAACCAAAGTGATAACTTATTAAATGCAATGTTTAAAAGTCACAGTGAAAGAATCATAATGAAAAAAGCATAGGTTACAGTTTTTTCTTTTCCAATTATTTTCAATTAATGCAATACATATTTATTTTTTAAACAGGGTTAATATTTGTGTTTCTTTAAGACAATTTCCCTAGTGCAATACACTGAGTGTGGTAAATTTGAATGGCATCAATGAACCATCATTGACAAAATGATACTATGTTTTCCTTTTATTTAGAAACTACTGTGTCCATTTGTTGAAATACCTTTCACAAATATAAGAGTATAAGGTCAAGGAAATAATAAGTCTTATGGAATATACTTTTGAGTCTTTCTACATTACCAAATTCTCTACCTTCAAATAGAACCAAGAAGTATCAGGAAGCTTAAAAAACATAGTGAGCCTTGGATATCAGAATTAATTTGTTACAGTAGAATTGATACAGTAGATATCAGCTGATTTTCCATTTTTTTAATTAAAAATAAATTCTCTGGGATAATATGTAGAACTTAAGCAATAGTAAAATTTGACAATTTTAATTTTGTTTGTTCAATTTATTTGTCTCAAAAGATGCCAAATTAAAGTGCTGTAGCAGTTAAAGATGCTTTTTTACATTAACAATTAGTTGATTTTCACATAATAAAAATTGTTGGCTGCGTGCAATGGCTCATGCCTGTAATCCCAGCACTTTGGGAGGCCGGGGCAGGTGGATCACCTAAGGTCAGGAGATCGAGACTAGCCTGGCCAACGTGCTGAAACCCCATCTCTACTAAAAATACAAAAAAAAAAAAAAAATAGCCAGGCACGGTGGCAGGCACCTGTAATCCCAGCTACCTGGGAGGCTGAGGCAGGAGAATCATTGAATGCAGGAGGCAGAGGTTGCAGTGAACCGAGATTGCACCATTGCACTCCACCCTGGGCAACAAGAGCAAAACTCCATCTCAAAAAATAAAAATGTTCAATAATAAAGCATATTAAAATAAAATAGAATGACAGAAATCATATGTACCCCAAACATCAGTATGATGCAATATACCCAGGTAACACACCTGCGCATATACCCCCTGAATGTAAAATAAAAGTAAAAAAATAAAACAATATAAATAATTAAATAAATAAAATGAAGATCTGACTTATTCTGAAAATTTAATTAGGCTCATCTCACCATGTTTAATCTAAAGTGTTATACCATGATAACACTACATAAAAAGAATAGTTTAAAACAAAACAAGCTAATAGTCTTCCCCAATGCAGACTCTTGGCCAATCTAGAAAGGTTGGGCCATATATAACAGAGTTTTTGTCATCTCTTTTTTCTAAAATGAATGATAGAAGAATAAGGAAGAATTATAGTGCTGATTTTTGTAGTAGTGAGTATCCCCAGAAAAAAAATCTGTTTAATTTATATCACAAAGATAATTGTGTGTGTGTGTGTGTGTGTGTGTATGCATATGTCTCTTCCAAATACTAACATTACTGACTTTTTCAAAGCCAAGAAAATGTTGCAAAAGAGGAAAAAGAAAAGAGAGTATTTTATAGTACTACTTGCTAACTACCTGCTATGGTTTGTCTTTGCCAAAATTTATATTGAAATTTGATTGTGGCAACATTGGAGCTGGAGCCTAGTGGGAGGTCTTTGGGTTGTGGAAGTGGATTTCCTCATGAATGGCTGGGTGCCTTCTCAAGGTAGTGAGTACGTTCTCACTCTGGAGAGCCTGGATTAGTTCTTCTGGAAATGAGTTAATTCCTGAGAGAATGAATTTTTATAAAATGAGAATGCCCCTTGGGTTTTCCCTGCTTGTATGTATCTGCCTCCCTTTGACCTTCCGCTATGTTGTGACATAGCACCAGAAGCTGAGCAGATGCTGGCACCATGCCTTTGAACTTCCTAGTCTATAAAACCATGAGCCAAATGAACCTCTTTTCTTTATAAATTACACATATTCAGGCATTCTGCTATAGCAACACGAAACAGTCTAAGACACTACCCTATTCCTTTCTTACATTCTTGTAGGTGAGTTACTAAAGAAGGAGCTAGTATGCCTTCTTTAAAAAAAAAAAAACAATGGCATGGCAATTGTTTCTATATTTTTGCCATTCTTGCTATGTACTAAACATTTACATTTCTTCTTGGAACCACATTTAAATAGTTTTTCTTCCCCAAGGGTAAACCTCTTTAACACATAGTATAGGTAAACTATCCTTGTCTTTTAATCATTAGTTGGACCAGTATACCAAAAAAAAGAAAAAAAAAATCATTGCAATTTAAAAGGTAAATAATTTAAGTTTTATAAGTGCCTAATTTTTAAAGGGTCAAATGACCTTTTAGATATTTAATTTCTTCCCATTGTTAAAATGGAAAATAATTTTATTAAAATATGTAGTATAAAAATCACACACATTTCATAAAAACTTTAAAGAACTGTGGTAAATCAGTGAATTCCAATCTGTTCTTGGAAAGAAGAGAAGTACTTTAAAAATATTTCTTATTTTATTTTTAAAGAGAAATAACTTTGTACTAGTTTGTTCTCATGCTGCTATAAAGAAATACCAGAGACTGGGTAATTTATAAAGAAAAGAGGTTTAATTGAATTACACTTCTGCATGGCAGTAGAGGCCTCAGGAAACTTACCATCATGGTAGAAAGCATCTCTTCACAGGGAAGTAGGAGAGAGAATGAATGCAAGCAGAGGAAATTCCAGGCACTTTTAAAACCATCAGATCTTGTGAGGCTAACTCACTATCAGCAGAACAGCATGGGGGAAACACCCCCATGATCTGATTATCTCCACCTGGTCCTTCCCTTGACATATGGGGATTATGCGGATTACAGTTGAAGGTGAGATTTGGATGGGGACACAGCCAAATCATATAATCCTGCCCTGGCCCCTCCCAAATCTCATATCCTCACATTTCAAAACACAATCATGCCTTTTCAGGAGTCCCCCAAACTCTTAACTAATTCCAGCATTAACCCAAAAGTCCAAGTCCATAGTCTCATCTGCAACAAAAAAAGTCCCTTCCACCTATGGGCCTGTAAAACCAAAAACAAGTTAGTTCCTTCCCAGAAACAATGGGGGTACAGGTATTGGGTAAATATACACATTCTAAATGGGAGAAATTGACCAAAACAAAGGGCTATAGGCCCCATGCAAGTCCAAAATCCAACAGGGCAGTCATTAAACCCTAAAGTTCCAAAATGATCTTTCTTTACTCCATGTCTAACATCCAGGTCATGCTGATGGAAGAAGTGGACTCTGATGGCCTTGGGCAACTCTGTCCCTGTGGCCTTGAAGGGTACAAGTCCCATCCCAGCTGCTTTCACAGGCTGGTATTGAGTATCTGTGGCTTTTCCATGCATGTGGTGCAAGCTGTGTGTGGTCCTACTATTCTGGGGTCAGGAAGACAGTGGCTCTCTTCTCACAGCTCCATTAGGCAGTGCCCCAGTAGGGACTCTGTGTAGGGGCTTCAAACCCACATTTCCCTTCTGCACTGCACTAGCAGAGGTTCTCCATAAGGTATCCACCCCTAGAGCAAACCTTTGCCTGGTCACCCAGGAATTTCCACGTATCTTCTGAAATCTAGGCAGAGGTTCCCAAACCTCAATTCTTGACCTCTGTGCACCCACAGGCTCAAAACCATGTGGAAGACACCAGGGCTTGAGGCTTGCACCCTCTGAAGTAATGGCTGGAGCTGTACCATGGCCCCTTTTAGCCATGGCTGGGGCTGAAGCAGCTGGGATGCAGGGCACCATGTCCCTAGGCTGGACAGAGCAGGGGTTCCCTGGGCATGGCCTATGAAACCATTTTTCTCTCCCAGGCCTCTGGGCCTATAATGGGAGGGGCTGCTGTGAAAATCTGTGACATGCCCTGAAGTCATTTTGCCCTTTGTCTTGGTGATTAACATTCATCTCCTCATTACTTATGCAAATTTCTGTAGCAGGCTTGCATTTCCTCTCAGAAAATGGGTTTTTCTTTTCTATGGCATCATTAGGATGTGAATTTTCAAACTTTTATGCTCTGCTTCCCCTTGAATGCTTTGCCACTTAGAAATTTCTTCTGCCAGATACCCTACATCATCTCTCTCAAGTTCAAAGTTCCATACATCTTGACCGCAGGGGCAAAATGCCTCCAGTCTCTTTGCTAAAGCATAGCAAGAGTCACCTTTATTCCAATTCCCAACAAGTTCCTCATCTTCATCTGAGACAACTTCAGCCTGTACTTCATTGTTCACATCACTGTCAGCATCTTGGTCAAAACCATTCAACAAATCTCTAGGAAGTTCCAAACTTTACCACATCTTTTTTCTTCTTCTGAGCCCTCTAAACTGTTCCAATTTCTACCTGTCACCCAGTTCTAAAATTTCTTTCACATTTTTGGGTATCTTTATAGCAATGCCTACCAATGTACTGTGTTATTCTGTTGTCACACTGCTATGAAGAAGTACCCAAGACTGGGTAATTTATAAGGAAAAGAGCTTTAATTGACTGATAGTTCCACATGGCTGGGAGGCCTCAGAAATCTTACAATCATGGCAGAAGGCACCTCTTCACAGACAGGCAGAAGAGAGAATGGGTACAAGCAGGGGAAATTGGGGACACTTTTAAAACTATCAGATCTCATGAGACTCACTCACTATCACTTATCAGGAGAACAGCACGGGGGAAACTGCCTCCATGATCAGATTGCCTCTACCTGGTCCCACCCTTGACATATGGGGATAAGGGGGATTACAATTCAAGGTGTTGTTTGGGTGAGGACACAGAACCAAACCATATCAAACATCAGTTTCATTGTGCAATAATTATGGAATATATAGTTTTTAAGTGGGCATGTTAAGACCACAGAAAATTTCAAGAAAGCATTTTTTTCTTATACAGTATTAGGACAAATCAAAATTCTAGACAAAGGTGTAATTCTACCTATTGAAAATAAATAGAAGAGATTCACTTCTCTTCCATTTTCTTAGACTTTATACTTGAGAAAACCTAAAATTGTGAATAAATTGTCCTCTCTTTTTGTATGTACAAAAACTCTTTTGAAATTTAGATAGGCCTTTTGTCAGCTGTAGACCCAAGAATGTCTTCTCAAAGACACTGCAACCATATCTTTGAAATGTAAACACAGGGAAGAGCTCTCCCTATCTCTGATTCTGTAGGAGGGTAAGAGCCTAACTTTGGTGGACACCTTGCTCTAAGTTGCAAAAATACCTATTATCATAAAGATATGAGAATTCTATTTTTCCTATGAATAAAGCTACTTAGCAAACAAAGATTAGTACCCTAATTACCAGGTAAATCTATGATAAACCCCAAGTGACAAATGGTGCTATCAAGTTCTCTTACTTCAATGCTAGTTATTATTATCTTAAAGACTTATATGTAATTGATTTTACTTACTTGGCTTCATAAGAGTGTGAAATATCTTTCTGTCTTGGAGGATTTTTTATGAGGTGGTCACATTCTGGTTTAAGTGTTTTTTGTTTTTTTTTTTTATAGAGCTATTTTCTTTTTCTACTACCTTTGTACAGGGGACTTCTGGGTTGGAAGAGGTTTTGTTTTCAATTATATTCTCCCAACATTAGCATCTATGAAACTATCTTTGTAAGTTAAAGTACAAAAACAAAGCTAAACTAAAAGTACTTTTAAGACTAGTGGTAAGGAAATGCAATTGCAACTATAGTGAACACTTACTATAATGCAAATAATTTTTCAATCAGTGTAACATACTCAATTTTACTCTCATGATGACATTTATTAGGAATCATAGTTTCCATTGTTCCCACAAACATTAGTTAATGTTACATTCTTATAGTTATTCTCAGTTTCAATTACTCTTTAGAAATACATAGATTTAGCAATACTATTCAAGATCAAAACAATATAATTTAAAAAAATAATACATATAGTTTTTTAGCATTTCAGCCTAGGGAGTTTTGAAAAGAAGGTACTTAATTTGCTTTCTATTTCCACAATTAATATGTTAAACCTTCAGAATTTGTTTGATTTCCTTTCTGTGGTAACAAATCTATTATTGCATATACATGTCAATAAAATATTGGATATCATTATCATGTAATTAGTAAGTTTCAATGAATGATTTCTTTTTGATAATTAACAGGCAATTTTTGAGATACTTCATATTTAATGATATATTTAATTAGATATTGAAAACACTCTAGGAAGATACTGCATGGAAAATTGCCGTATTCAAATACATATTATGCTTGACATTTTTAAAACAAATAAATATTAAATATTGAATATATTATTTACCTAGTCATTAATCAAAATATAATATTAATTGGGAATTTGCCATTAACATACTGAATATATTCAATTTTTAATTTCATTATTCAAATCTTGGTAATTTTCAACAATTTGAAGTACTTCAGATATTTGACATTACAAAAATTTTTGTAACATTTTTAATATAAAATATAATATAATGATAATATAATGATAATTTTTGTAACTTTTTAAATATAAAAAGTTATGAAGATATGCATGATTAAGTGTTTCCTTTAGTAGAAAAGTACAGAAGGTTTGAAGAAAATATTTTATTTCAGAATTTAATCTCACATCTCACATGTGGTCAGATAATCACAGTGCTTTTGTTTTTTTGTTTGTTTGTTTTGCTTTTTAGGAGGATGGAGGTAAAATAATAATAACTGCAGTAGGAAATTTCTCTGCTAAATAATGATAATCAAGATTGAAAATCTGTAGTACTGGAATGCAGTGACTCAAAGTGCACTAATGTTTTATAAACTGTTATAACAAGGCCACATTTACCTTAGTATTTAGTTCATTATTAAATTTGCATTTTTACATCTTGTGTGATTTGTAAGAGCAGAATTTTTTTTTAATTCCAAAATGTTTAAATTTACTTTTTAATCAATAATCCTTTGTCAAATAAAGGGTAAACATAGGCTTAATATTTTCAATATGACTCTCACTGATATGATTGGCTATGCATTGTTAAGCCACAGAGCATACGTTTAAGTGTTGGATAGGGCACTATTAGGTTAATTTATACATACTAAAGACAATAGCAAACAGTGTCAAGTGATAAATACATAGCTCAGGGGAAAAACAGGAAGAACTGTTTTCTCGTTTTAATATCTCTCCCCTGGGCCTGATAATTAAAAAACAAACAAACAAACAACAACAACAAAAAAAACTCACATTTCTGAGATAAAAGTTATTTCTATTATAAACTCCCTAAGCTGTGAAAGCACTCTCCAAGACACATACAGTTTCAAAAGTAGTATGTGAAAATATTACTGACTCGAGGATCTTCAGCACAAATTCTGACTAATGAGCAGCTGATCACAAAACTACTGGGCTATCTCAGAGGCAATCCCTAAAATATTAGGCTTAAATATAAAAACATGGAAAAAGGCAATCATATCAGAATCAGCAGAGACCACACTAGCAGGGAAATAGTCTTCACAGAGTTAGTCCAAGCCAATCACTAAAACAAACAAAAAAGCAAATAAGCAAATGATAATAGCTACAAGCCCTGGGGAAAAGAATCAGTATCCAGAGTTGCTGCAAAATGTTATACAAAAACTCTCATTTTAGCAACAACAAAAAAAAGAGACTTGCAAAGAATCAGGAAGATATGACCCATGCACAGGTACAATCAGGCACCAAAAACTGTTTTTGAGAAGAGCTAGATGTTGGACTGCACAAAAGGACTTCAAAGAACCTATAATAAATATGTTGCAAATACTAAAGGAAGCTATATTTAAATAATTAATGGTATAATACTAAACAGTTATTAAATAGAGAATATCATTAAAGAGTTAGGAACTATTTTAAAATGGAAATTCTAAAGAAGTAAAATAACCAAAGTAAAAAAAAATTACTAGAGAAGCTGTGCAGTAGATTGGAGCTGGTACAAGAAAGAATCAATGAACTTGAAGGTAGTTCAATATATACATTTTACAATTTGAAGAACAGAAAGAATAAGGCATTAAAGAAAATAAAATCTCAGAGGAACTAGGACATCGTTGAGCACAGTAGTATATGCAAAATTGGAAGAGCAGAGGGATAGGAGAGAGAAAAAGAAATGAAAAATAAATTACAAATAATAATGACTGAAAATTTGCCAAATGAGACTAAAAACTACTCAATAATCTTTGAATACAATGCATCTTCCTCAATATGTTAAAAAGCATCTGCAAACAACCAACAACTAACATCATACTTAATGGTGAAAAAAGTTTTTCCCCAACATTAGACAAGGATATCCACTCTTGGAAATGTAGAGACGTTTAAGATGTGATAACTTGAGTCTACTAAAAAAACTGATAATAGACTAACAGGAAAAAAAGGCATACAAATTTTATAACATACACTCTTGTGTATGAGAGATGTACAAAATCTAAAAACTCAAAGGCAGGATGCCTGGTGCTTTTCTACTATCTTAACGTTACAAAAAGAACAGGAACTTGAACTGTGGCAAAGACAGATATTGGCAAAACAGGTTATCGGAGGGAGAGAAGAGGAAGATAAGCATAGGGAAAAGGTGGTCTTGTTGTGTAGATGAAATCTCACAGGTAATAGCCCTTAGTAAAAATAGATGATAAATATTTCTGTCAGACTTTTGAAGATGTCAGGCTCTCAATTAATCTCTCCTGTATTTGGACAAGGCAGACTTCAGAGAAAGACTGTTTGCATCTGTTGTTTTCTTCAATTTATTTTCTCGGCAGATGCAAATCTCCACAAGAGGCAGCATTTTAGCTTTAGTTTTTTTTTCAGCTCTTCTGAATAGCCATCCTGAAATATGTTAAAGAAGTATACTTTAGGGTAAAATTTTTGGTTTCCTTCACCAGTTCTGTTTAACATGGCACTGTAAGTTCTAATAAGGGCAATAAAGTAAGGAAAATAAATAAATAGCATCCATATTAGAAAGGAAGGAGTAATACTATATTTGTGGATGCCATGATCTTGCATATAACAACTCAAGAATCATACACTAAAAACTATTAGATATAAGAAATGAGTTCAGCAAAATTGTAGGGTACACAGTCAATATACAAGCATAACATTCAGAAAGTAAAATTTAGAAAACAATTTTATTACAATCTTATCAAAAAGATTAAAGTACTTTTGTTAATAAATTTAACCAAAAAAGTAGAAGTCTTGTACACTGAAAACAATAAAACATTAAAAAAAGAACTAAATAAATAGGAAAAAATTTTATGTTGATGGATTAGAAAACAACATTATTAAGGTGTCATTACTTCCCAAATTGATCTACAGATTCATTGAAATCTCTATCAATATCCAACAGCTTCTTTGCAGAAATGGACAAATTGATGCCAGAATTCATATGTAATTGCAAAGGAATACAAATAGCCAAAACAATCTTTAAAAAGAAGCACAGTGTTAGAGGGTTCACATAGCTTGATTTCATTAATTATACATAATTATACAATTACTATAATCAAAACAGTGTAGTACTGGTATCAGGATAGATATGTAGATATACTGATAGATATGTAGATATACTGATACATATGTAGATATACTGAATAGATATGTGGATATACTGTATGGAACTGAAAGTCTATAATTCAGCCCACACATCCATGGTCAGTTGATTTTGGGCAGGGTGTTAAAACTAATATTTGGGAGGGGATAGTCTTTTCAACAAATACTGCTGGGAAAGCCTGATATCCAAGCAAAATAATAATAATAATGACAATGATTTTTTATTTCACACTGTATACAAGATTATTTCAAGGTTATTAGAAATCTAAATGTGAGCTTAAACTATAAAGCACTTAGAAAAACATACGAATATTAAAAATAAACAAATTGGACTTCTTCAGAGTTAAAAATCTTTGTCTTCAAACAACATCATGAAGTGCAAAGACAACACAGAATTGGACAAAAATCCTCTTTAAGTCATATATCTAATTGTAATCTCCTGATGGGTTCATCTTCCCCACTGCCCAGAAAAGCAGATTCACTGAGAACAGCAGGTGGAACTTAAGAAACTACAATCACTAGGTTGGAACGTGTTCTTGAGGATTTCAATATATTTGAACCCTCCCACATTGCTGATGGGGTTTTAAAATGACACAGGATATTTTGAATTCAGTTTTCCAGTTCCTCAAAATATTAAATAGACAGTTAACTTATGACCCAGAAATTTCACTTGGGTAGGTATGTACCCAAGAGACATGAAAACATATCTACACAAGAAAACTTGTACATTATTGTGCATAGCAGTATTATTTGTAATGACCACAAATTGCAAATAACCCGTGTAGGGGAAAAATTATAATTTCTTTTCTTTCTCGTTTTAGGTTCTTAGTTGAGACACTCTCCTGAAAACAAAAATCTGAAAAGTCAGATTAACAAAAGAAAAACAAACAGGTTTATTAATAACAAAAGAAAAACAAACAGGTTTATTAATGTGTGGCATACCCATCATGCAGGAGAGCCCTCAGTTCAAAATTACTTCTTTCTCAAGACAATGGCTTAGGGGCCCTGCTTAAATAGTATTTTAACAAATAGCCATAAATTCTATATAGTGACAAGGTCAGAGAGTATCTTCAGGCTTCCAATAGGTGTGAACATGTAGGAAGGTGACTTTAATGGAAGAGTGAGTCTTTTCCTGGATCCTCTGGTGCTGCTGTCCCTGAGCTCTGTTTCTGAGCTGATAAGCAACTGTTGTAAATGAGCCTTCCTTTAGGTAGAAAAGGCAGAGAGGAAGGGCAGAGTGTGTCCCTGCGTTTTAACCTTTTTCTTTAATTAAAATCTGCAGCATTTGAAAGAGGAACATTTTGGTTTCCTTCACCCAATTTTCTGTTAAATAATGAATGGGTTAATAAAATATAGTATATCCATATTGATATCAGTATATCCATCTGATACTCTCTAATGGTATATCCATATAACTGAATATTACTATTTCAATGAAAGTAATGAAGTACAGATACATGTCATATTGTGGATGAATTTAAAAATATTTTGCAAAGGTAAAGAAACCAGTCACAAAAGACCACATATTGTTTCCATTAATAAGAAATGTCCATATAGAGACAGAAAGTAGACTAGCAGTTGCTTAGAACTTCTAAAGGGTAAGAGACATATTTTTGAATTGATAAAAAAGGTCTAAGCTTAGATTATGATGCTAATTGCACAAGTCTGAAAAACATACTAAAATATTAAATATAATTTAAATGAGTGAGTTTTATGATGTATGAATTTTCTTTCACTAAAGTTGTTAGGTAAAAATAAAAGGAAGCACTCTCTAATGCTTCGTTTAGGAATGAAATATAAACTTTGTAAAAATACACAAATCTTGTGATTATATAAGGTTTACATATTTGCCTGAAATATTGCAAGTGTTCTGTTTTCTTGCTAAAACATTTTTATTTTTACATATTTCTAAATCTTCAATAATTCATTTGTATTGTCTTGAGTGAATCAGAAGAGGAAAACCCAAATTTTGCATTGGGAAAAGGCCGGAGTGTAAAAAATAAGGTATTTATGTGTTCGCTAGTGACATAATAAAGGACAAAGCAATGATGCAGGTTAGTCGTTGCGAACTCTGCTCTTTTGTATTTTTATAAGGCAGGCTGGAACATCCCTTGCAAGTATTTCCCTTCTTTTAAGTGTACATTGGCTGGAAAAAGTTTATTCCCACAGAATATAGTGCTGAATAGAAATCTGTCACTGGAGAAATTTGACTGTCTTTTCAGAAAGAATTCAGAGGTTTGTAGAAGGGCTCTATTATTTACTTTTTGTCTTAATTCTATTATTTTTAGAGAAAAATTTCACTGAAGTATTTTTAGAGATTAATTCAAGCCATGGTTATTTAATTAGGTTGTTGCAAAAGTAATTGCGGTTTTTGCCATTACTTTTAATGAAACAAGAAACAAGACTGAATCAAACAAGAAGTAAGACTGAATGAATATTACTTCATGGCCCCTTTTGGTAAAAGTCAAAGAAAAGTCTTCTGTCAAGTTAGCAATACTTTCATCATTTTTCCTCTTTACAGTTAAAAACTGCAAGTTGTGTTATCTTATGGTTTAAGATATTAAACTTTATTTTCTTTAACAAATGAAGGGAGAAATTTCTAGAGAGATCTGGTATGCTCTTATCTCTGAGAGTCACCATTGGATCTTGAGGCACATATGAACCTGAGGCTGAGTAAAATGCATAGAGAACATTTGAAGAATTGGTATCTTTGATTTACGTATTTTCTACCTACTCAAAACTGTAATTGTTTAATGACAGCTGAAAAAATATTTAGATACATAGTTTTATTCCAAGAAATTATTTCTCTTCATCTGAATTATTATATTTCAGTATGTGTGTTCTTTTCCTAACACTCTCTCCCTTGTCTTGAGTGATTTACATTCATGTTTTACATAGCCTTGCCTACTAAATGTACACAATGCACAAGTGAGTGTGTGTGTATAATAAATAACTTGGAGAATTTGCTCCATAACCCAAAATTTAATAATGAAAT
Source organism: Homo sapiens (assembly GCF_000001405.40). Taxonomy (NCBI): domain Eukaryota; kingdom Metazoa; phylum Chordata; class Mammalia; order Primates; family Hominidae; genus Homo; species Homo sapiens. Next base: position 164,397,142 of record NC_000003.12, read on the forward strand.
CACAAGAAAAAACAATTACTCAAAGTCAACATTTAATAAAATAGCTTAACAAATCCTAAATGTCTTAGTATGAGCTTTAAGCTATTTATTAATAAGGTCAAAGTAATATTAGCTTCTCAATTAAATCTTGTATGAGAACTTTAATAAACACAGTATCTTTACGAAATCCAAATAAATAGGTGATTTAGAATTTGACTGGACTGAAAAACAATTTGAAGGGAAAAATTCATCAAGATAATATTAGAGATTAGATAATGATAAAATGTTTTATCAAAGTATATCAGATAATGGATTGTATACTACTTATTATTTATACATATTTATTTAATATACATTGTATTAAAATATTTATAAGTATGAAATCTTTAATAATAATATGTAGAGATAATTGTTTAGAGTTCTTATAATACATTTTTTATAATAAAAAATCATCACATTGCATATCTCCTTAAACAATAATGGTTAAGGTGGGCATAAGCCAAGAACAATTTTTGGCACTAAATATCCCCAGGTGTTCAAACTGAGAGCTCTTAATCCAGTTAGTTATTAACTGCCAAGTAATGTCTAACAGTGGCACATTTCTCAAACTACAAATTCAAGATATATATAGAAAATTCTATTGTATCATCAGAGGATATAGCAGTCCAGCTATAATATATATACATAAATATATATAAAATATATTTAACCTAATATACTGATTATTGAGGCAATTAAATAATTTGAGACTGTATTTTTAACTATGATTGCTAAAAATTGTGTTTACATATTTTTAACAATAACTGGCAAATATTAACGTTAAATAAAAGTTAGTTGCTTTGGAAGGTTTGAGGATATTTCTATCCCAGTATTGAGTAACAAGTATGTGGATTCTTTCATGCTGCCATATTGGTATGAATATCTTTTACACCTTCAGGAGCTTCAGTATTGCAAAAATAACACATCTTCCATATTAAGTCTCTAAATAACAATAAATATTAGTTTCAGAGATTTATAATTTCTCAGTAGAGTTCACTTTTCTTGTTTCTTGTTATTATTTTTACCAAAAAAGACATATATTTTACTCACTATACAAAAATAAAATTAAAAGAAAACAAAAATAAGCATAGTGGTTTTATCTGTGGTTAGTCTTTTAAAATTCTTTTTAGAGATACATTTGTAATTATTTTAATTGTTAAGAATTCTTCCCTTCCACAATTTACTATCCCACACTTGTCTTTAACTTTCAGATATACTTTTTCTCTTTTAGCAAAAGCACTCCAGGGCAGTCACTCCAACAGTATGTAGTTGTATAAGTTCCACAGAATGCTATTTCTTACTGGCTAGACTTACATTCTTCCCAACTTAGCTATATGAAGCGATTTCATTCATTTAAAATTGAAGTGGCTTCTGGTATGTTCTAAAATAACATTAAAAAATAGCAACTATTGGCCTGGCATGATGGCTCACTTCTGTAATCCCAGCACTTTCGGAGGTTGAGGCAGGAGGATCACTTGAAGTCAGGAGTTCGAGACCAGCCTGGGCCAACATGGTGAAACCCCGTCTCTACTAAAAATACAAAAAAATTAGCTGAGTATGGTGGCAGGCGCCTGTAATACCAGCTACTTGGGAGGTTGAGGCAGGAGAATCACTTGAACCTGGGAGGCAGAGGTTGCAGTGAGCCTAGATCGCACCATTGCACTCCAGTCTGGGCAAAGAGAGCAAAACTCTGTCTCAAAAAAAAAAGAAAATTATGCTGGAGGTAATGGATTAATATATGAATTCACTGCATTTTAAAAAAGTATCACTACATTTTCTCTAGTTTGAGTTTCCCTAATGAATTGTCTATTCTGGTTTTAAAGTGTCCTGTAAGGGCTTTCTGCCTTTTGTTCCTTTAAATTCTTTATGCTACTAACAGAAAAGTATTTCTAAAATGCAAAATGTTACATCTCACTTGTTCACCAATATCTGATAACTTAGCAGAGACTATATAAAACAGTGCTTTAAAATTGTGCTAGCTACCATAACAGGTAAACCTTGATGAAACAGAGTATTGTACAGTAGTTTGACAAAATTAATTCAGAAACTCATATGACAGAATTTCTCTAATCTCAAAACTTGGTTCCAAAGTTTACCTTGGACATTGGAAACCATCAGAATGAGAGAAGAGAGACAATACCATACATGAGATTTAATTAGCCCAAGACTATGGCTTTATGTAGTTTTATATGGCAAATATAATTTTTACCCTTATTTCATTCGCCAAAACCACAAGCCCAGACCACCAAAAAAATACGTCAGAATTTTATGGGCCAGCGATATGTTCAGGAAGAGAAAGAAGGTTGAGATTACTTAGTTTTTACTTGCTGAAAAGCTAAGCAATCTCAAATTCTGGACAGTGCAACCAGGATTTTACTTAAACCTCAGTTACAGTCTTAACTTTGTACCTTTGTCATATATCTTCCAGTCCAAACGTGTCATTGCTCATAAAGTAGAATTTTATGTGCCTGGACTCGTGTTCTTTCCTATACCTTAAAATTCACTGGCCATTGCCAATCAGAATTGCCAATCTTTTAAAATTTGGTAAGTATTTTCTATTCCCTCTATTCTATTAAATTCTATTAAATTCTCCCTATCAGAGACACTTTTCTCATTTTTTCTTCCTATTTTAACGCGGTATTAAAAAGACTTCCACCACCATGAGTTAAGTCATTTTACTGCAAAATTTAAAAATAGTTACAAATTAATTTATAGTTAAAATAATAGAATATATAATCACAATGTGAATATTGTAGAGAAATTCATTCGGTTTCATTAAATAAGCTTATCACATTTTGCATATATTGATTCTTATCTTAATGTATCAAGGAAATGAATAGAAGTTTGTATCAAATCCCTGTAGCATTTTCAGTCTGTTACTTTCCCTCAAATATTATTCAAGTCCTTTAAGACGCTTATAGAAGTTATCAGAGCAAGACCTAATAATTATTATTTCCATAAATCTTTTAATTTAAATGTAACACAGACTTCAGCTTTCTACAGTTTTAATATTGTTTAGCCCCAAACATTTTCCATAATCTAAACCACCTGATATAAAGAAAACAATAAATTAAATAAAAAGTTCTTCAATGAGCCAAAGTATTAATCGGGACTTTTTTTTTTTTTTTTTTTTTTTTTGACATGGACTCTCACTCTTTTGCCAGGCTGGAGTGCAGTGGCATGATCTCGGCTCACTGCAACCTCCGCCTCCTGGGTTCAAGCGATTCTCCTGGCTCAGCCTCCCAAGTAGCTGGGATTACAGGCACGTGCCACCACATCCAGGTAATTTTTGTATTTTTAGTAAGGACAAGTTTTTACCCTATTGGCCAGACTGGTCTCGAACTCCTGACCTCAGGTGATGCACCTGCCTCGGCCTCCCAAAGTGCTGGGATTACAGGTGTGAGCCACTATGCCCAGCCTTAATCAGGATTTTGATATGACTGAGTGTTCTTGGGTTTCATTTTATTCTGCTACTTGTTAGAAGCTACTTTACCAGAAAAGGAGAGACATCTATTTTCATAGTGGGTATTCTATTCTAACTTGGGTATTTCTATTCTGCCTTAAAACACTATTATTCAATTAGGTAACCGCTGTAGTCACTGATAGCGTGAGGCATCAATCACAATTTTCCTACAACGCCCCATTAATGTCACAGCAGATTGAAAGGCTAATTTTTAATGAAACACTACCTTTGAGATTTTTATCTTGATGACAAAAATCCATCCATAATGGTTGTGTATTCACACTTTGTGGGCATAAAGATTAATTATACATTTCCCTGATTTAAAAAATGTTTGCTATTGTATATCTACATTAAGTCCAAATTAACAATTGTGAACATGGCTAATACCTGCTCCACCAGCCTTATAGCAAAAGGTAGTATGAGAAATAAATTTGAGTAAAAATACAGATATAATGCAGGGGGACATGACGTTGTGAGACCCAGTGAGAAACTGTGTCTGGAATTGGTGGGTTCTTGATCTCACTGACTTCAAGAATGAAGCCGCGAACCCTCGCGGTGAGTGTTACAGCTCTTAAGGTGGCCCATCTGGAGTTCGTTCCTTCTGATGTTCGGATGTGTTCAGAGTTTCTTCCTTCTGGTGGGTTCGTGGTCTCACTGGCTCAGGAGTGAAACTGCAGACCTTTGCGGTGAGTGTTACAGCTCTTAAGGCAGCACGTCTGGAGTTGTTCGTTCCTCCCGGTGGACTCGTGGTCTCGCTGGCTTCAGGAGTGAAGCTGCAGATCTTCCCGGTGAGTGTTACAGCTCATAAAAGCAGCCTGGACCCAAAGAGTGAGCAGTAGCAAGATTTATTACAAAGAGCGAAAGAACCAAGCTTCCACAGTGTGGAAAGGGACCCGAGCGGGTTGCCACTGCTGGCTCGGGCAGCCTGCTTTTATTCTCTTATCTGGCCCCACCCACATCCTGCTGATTGGTAGAGCCTAGTGGCCTGTTTTGACAGGGCGCCCATTGGTGTGTTTACAATCCCTGAGCTAGATACAAAGGTTGGTGCACTCACAAACCCTGAGCTGGACACAGGGTGCTGATTGGTGTGTTTACAAACCTTGAGCTAGACACAGAGTGCCAGACTGGTGTATTTACAATCCCTGAGTTAAGACATAAAGGTTCTCCACGTCCCCACCAGACTCAGGAGCCCAGTTGGCTTCACCCAGTGGATCCCGCACCGGGGCTGCAGGTGGAGCTGCCTGCCAGTCCCGGTGCCGTGCGCCCACACTCCTCAGCCCTTGGGCCGTGGATGGGACTGGGCACCGTGGAGCAGGGGGCGACGCTCGTCGGGGATGCTCCGGCCGCACTGGAGCCCACGGAGGGGGTGGGAGTCTCAGGTATGGCGGGCTGCAGGTCCCGAGCCCTGCCCCGCGGGAAGGCAGCTAAGGCCTGGCGAGAAATCAAGCGCAGCGCCGGTGGGCTGGCACTGCTGGGGGACCCGGTACACCCTCTGCAGCGGCTGGCCCGGGTGCTAAGCCCCTCAGTGCCCAGGGCCGGCAGGTCCGGCGGGGCTGGCTGGCTGCTCCAAGTGCAGGGCCCGCCAAGACCACGCCCACCCGGAACTCCAGCTGACAGCGAGTGGGAACGCAGCGAGTGGGAACGCAGCCCCAGTTGCCACTCACGCCTCTCCCTCCACACCTCCCTGCAAGCTGAGGGAGCCGGCTCCGGCCTTGGCCAGCCCAGAAAGGGGCTCCCACAGTGCAGCGGTGGGCTGAAGGGCTCCTCAAGTGCCCCCAAAGTGGGAGCCCAGGCAGAGGAGGCCCCGAGAGCGAGCAAGGGCTCTGAGGACTGCCAGCACGCTGTCACCTCTCAAAACCACCTCACTTGGTTGTAGGAGGTCATTGAAGATTGCCTGGAGGAAGCCATGTTCAATGGGCACATTTGTAGAATGATGTGAGCCAGGTACGTGTGTGTCTGTGTGTGTTGGGGTTATGGAGAAGGGAGTTTGGTGTAGAGGGGTAAAGTTTAGGAGTTTGTAAGTGTAAAGAAAAGTGGTTTAGACACTGGAAGTAGAACGTTAATCAACCAGATGATGAAAATGGATGTATTAGGTTGTTGCAAAAGTAACATTTTATAATAAAATTGACAGAAAACAAGCAGTCGTTTAGAATAAGAGATGGTCATGATCGGGAAGAGATGAGGCTTGAAAGGTGAGAAAAGGTGGATTGACTTGATCTTTAGATAACATATATTTAGGTAACATATAGATATAATTTGGAGACTTATTTGAATGAAAGGGGGGGTGGAGGTAAGAAAATTTATTTATCAAAAAGACTTTCAGATTTATGGCTGGAGGTGGATACCTTTTCAAATGCTGAAATGAAAAGAGTTTCTGTGGGGATATAGTCAGGTTTTGGAGATGTTAAGAGTGTATGTGTGGGGATACCTGGTAGTTTTTGGCATTTCTATTATAAACAGCATGAAACTCAGGGCAGACATATCTTTTGGTGATAAAGTTTATGAGAAGGACAACTTTTCTGTGGATTCTGATGGTATGTTACTCAGAAATATCTTTCTCAGCAGTATTCAAGCTGGAGTAGCATTTCAAAATTTTGCTTTTAACAGATGTCAATTACCATTAAAGCCAATTTCACATTAGTTGATGAATTTAAATTTTACAGTATCTAATGCATGGGCATCTGTTTCAACTCTCTGTTTTTCAAGAGGTAGTATATGTCTGAAAAATCTATTTTGTCATTTATGCTGCAGTCGGAATACTTGGAGCCTGGAAGTAAAGACTTGGCTATTTTCACAATTATAATAAATGATTCATGAGGGAAATGTTTCTATCTTTCAACATTTATCCTCTGCTATTTTAGTGTTCTTGGTGCATAAGAGGAGAATGCATTTACTAGAAGACATAGTGATTGTTTCATGGAGCTGAAAGACAGACACCTGACCATTTTGGCTCTTCATAACCCAGAATCAATAGGCAAATAAAGGCTTTACTATGATCCTGGAAGGATTGATCCAGATTCTTAAGGGACCCTTATACAATGGGTTGAGTGTGTCTGAAACTCAGAAACCTTCCAAAGAGGCTCCAACTAGCATGTCTCTTGTGGAAAATTGATGTCAGATTACTATTACACAATAGTAGGATTTCCAAAAGTTTGACATATGCAGGAATAAATAGTTGGTGCATCCCATTTGAAGAATATTAACTGACTGAGGTTTTACTCAAGGAAAAGGACACATAAAATGTGCAGTGAAAGAAAGAAATTATAGATACAAAGTACAGCATTGTGGCCTGTTACAAAAAAAAGGATTTTATTTGCTACCCATACTATATTGTTCAGTCTGTCATCTGTCATCTATCTGTCTATCTATCTATCTATCTATCCATCCATACATTAATCTATCTTATACAAGTCCTTATTTCCTTCTCTCTCTAATATTTTATGTTACATACAGGTCTTGGTGGTGAATCATTTTTAAACTTAGCTCATTTAATATAGAATATAAAGATAGGAATATTGATTTAATTATGAAAGGAATGAGTACCACTCAGAAACAGGTATACTAATGGTTGGAAAGTTGGATCCTTTCTCTGCAGGTAGAGGGTAAGTTCTTCATTTTTATGGGGCATAAGTGTATTATGTTGAATGGGAACATATTCTCACTGCTGGTGTTATTGTTTGTGATTTTGCATATAAATAGAAAGGCATGTTAGGATAATTAGTGGCCAGATGGGCCAGGGAAGTGTATAGCATTTACCATCAATTTCTTATGGTGAACTGTCTAAAGTGCTAAATATGGAAAACTAAGAATTGCATTACTCTAATTTTCTTATAACTGAATGAATGTATTTTATTTTTATTTACAAGATGTAGTTGTGTAAAATACTGTATATGAAAACCGTGTTTTCTGAGACTTCTGCAGCTTCAGTTGGTAAGTCCTATGATGGAAATGTTTGCATTTCTGATGTAGCCTTTGGATTGTGGCTACTCACTCTTATGACTGGTTCATTATTGTGAAAGCAAATTCCAGTTCCCTTGATAACCCAGTTCTATAGTGTAGGTTTTAAACAACATCTGCATGCATTTTGCAAGCCATTTAATACCAATGATAAATTCCTTATGTTTGAACTAGCCAGAGTGATTTTCCTTTCTTGCAGTAGAACACTGATCAATACAATGGAGATATCAAATAAGGAAGCAAGTTTATTTTACATCTTTCATAATTTTTATTTTTGAAAAAGGAGGACTTCTGAGTTTGATATGAGCAAAAATTCTGGCATAGTCAACACCATTTGAGAATACTAGAAGTCAAAGAAGAGGGGAGAGACTTCTTATTTGGTATTTAGCCATTTGTAGTCCTGGGTAGTTATAAATTAACTCTACCCTGATCATATTGCAGGTCCTTCTAATTATGCAGATAATTGTTTATGGAGTAATTGGTTAATAATAATATGAGAAGTTATTAAAAATGATACCTCCTCTTTCCATCTTCCTCCTTATGTACATCATATTGTAGATGAATCTGTTCTTTTCTAACAGTAAAGGTAAAATAAGGGAATACTAGTTAATAAATATGTCAGGAAAGGCAATTTGGGCGACTTTGGTTCATTGAAAAGTATCATAGTATGAGAGCATTTTCCTAAAGTGTCAATGTATTTCAAATAGAATATTAAAAAGAATAAATGCATTATTGACAGAACAGGGACAGCATGGAGTAAACAGAGAACCCAGCCATTTATTTCATTCTTTTAATATTTGAATGAGCTTAGTACTTGTATTTTTGAGAAGTAAATGGATCCTGAGTTTTTACTGACACAATTTTGTACCTAGTGCTACTGTAACTTCTCACAAAGACCCAAAATTATGCTGTGCTAAAATGCCTACTATTATCTCTCCTTCCTTATGACACTGAAAGAGATGTTCCTCAATCTTTATGTGGACCTCATGGACAGGAATAGGAGACATACACAGAGACTTATTACAATACGAAAAAAAATAAAAATATTTCATTTTATAATGGTAGTCACCAAAAAGTAGTATTTTAAGTAAATCATTGTGCTTTGTGGGCATCAGATCCAGTCTAGCTGGTGCGAGTAGTAACTGACTGAACTGTCAAGCTTTTTACTACATGTCACTAAAGTATTTCTGCATTTATTACAAGCCTATGGTGTATAACACTGAACCTAATCAGCAAAAAATAGTATTTTCTACTATCACCTTATTGAAAAGTCCTGGAACTCACAAAATAACATTCTTTAAAAATATTTCTTTAAATTGATTCCCCACACCCACCTTAGGAAATGTTGTGGAAATTAACTCATATTACCTCTTATTAACAAGAAACCACAAAAAACTAAGCAGAATGAGGTTAAAGTAAGAAAAACTGAAAGAGTCAAAAATAATTTTCAAAAAAAGTGGCTCCAATTAATATATTTTCCAAAGCCTGGTTTATTTACACTAACTCAGACTGGTCTTTAGAATACCTATCTTCCAGTGTCCAAAAAGAAGCTCCAAAAAGGAAATGTAAATTTAATTTGCCAAGGATATCACGGGGTTAATTTAAAGGGGCAAAGGAGCTGCAGGCTGCTAACTGAGGTAGAAAGCAAAGCAACCTGCTCTTTAGAATATGGCTGGGTGCCTTATCTTAGTTTTCTGATAATTGCCTTGCTTTGGACAAGATTTTGCTTGTCCATTTATTTATTCTGTTAGGATTTACCTGAGCTTATGTCCTGCACGAATTTGAGACAGTTTACAGAATTAAATACAATATGAAACAAGGAAATACATTATTTTTAAAAAAGAAAACATGCTTGGATTCCTGGCCCTGGTCCTTCCCATATCCAGTTTCAGATTTGTCCTTGACTTAGGCATTAGCTCCACTTCATTTCCTACTTAAAGGGAAATAGGAGATCCCGGATTCTTGAAGGTAAGAAGTGCCCAAGTATCAGATACAGGCCTATTGAGGTATTGGAAATCTGAGAAGAGCATCTTCGCATTACTTTCTATGTGACTACTTAGTAATCTAGTTTTTTGCTATATATGAGGTTGCTATATATAGGGGCCATGGATCCAGAGTACATAGCTAGTGTGAGTAATAACTGATTGAAGTCAATCAAGTTTTGACTACATATCACTTTAGCCTGGAATCCTACCTGCATCCTAACCTTCACACACTAATTTAATTTATCAGATTAGCAAATAAAATATAGGATACCAGTTAAGTTTGATTTTCAGATAAGCAACACATAATTTCTTTGTGTTTAATTATGTCCCAATTACTACATAGGATTTTCCTTAGAATCTCAATTACCTCTTTCATCAAAGGATTATACTTACACACACTTGGCAGGATTGTTATAAGAATTAAGAGAGAGAATGTGTTGTATGGGACCTAGTTATACTAAAACAATTATTCTCCGTTTACCTGAGAAACAAATTTAACTGGGCATTTTCTATCTTATCTGGTAACTGTATGCTAACTTCTAAAAGATTTTCCTGGGGCCATTATTACCTACTGTATGTCCCAAGTTGATAGCTATCAAAGCTTTCTAGCTGTGACATACTTGCTTTCTTTTTCCTTTCTGGTCTTCACTAACTTAGGTGAGTTGATTACTTCCCATTTCTGTGAGTGGCTCCCTCTCAATAGTGTGACCTATGTCTCTATATGAATTTCCTGGACTTGCCTGCAGTTTTCTGTGTGGCTGGTATTTTCCCAACACGCCCAGTCTCATAAACCTCTCCCATCTGGCCTGTTACTACCACTTCACTGACATTAAGTCCTAGTTTTGTTTGGGGCAGTTCTATTAAAAGCAGCGAATAAATATGCAACATCTCCTCGGTTCCAGGTATTGTGAGAGAGATTCTGCAAATGCAAAGAGGAACAAGCCATGAGCTCTATCATCAGGGACCTCAGAATCAACAAAGAAATAGGCATTAGAGTGATGATAATATTAATAACTACTTTTTTTTTGGGTATTTAGTACAGGCCAGAAACATTTTCTTCCTTGATTCTGGAGCAACCCTGCCAATCATGTGTAAATATCACCTCTTTAAGAGAGAGAAAATTGAAATTCTGAGGATAATCAATTTTTCTAAATAAACACTTTCAATGACAGAACTGGAATGGGAGTCCTGATCTCTCACTCTAGATCGATCATACATTGCCCTGGCCCAGCCTCAACAGAACCCTGTGCAGATAGCTTCTTGTGCAGATAGCTCAAAGGGGCTTCCTCAGTTCTAGGCTTTACATGACATTTCAGCTCAGCTGCTCACAGCTGTCTTGAAAATAGTCCCTGTTTCCAAATTTCACCTTTCCAGGAAGGATATTGATTATCCACGTCCTATAAGACATAGTATTTTGTTCTCCTGATGATGAACTCCCTGGAATTAGCTGTCTAACTTTGGTTCTTAGGAACTGGGCTAAGGAAGCACAAGGTTTAAACAAATGTGGCCTCTTGGCAGGCATTGTGAGCGAGAGGAAGGGCAGATTTACTGCAAGGAGGACAGGAACATTCCAAACCATGTCTAGTGAAGATGTGTTTCTAAATATGGAGGCACTGGGAATTTTAGGCAGCAGCACTGGTATTTCAAGAGGAACATAAATTCAAAAGTTGCTAGTTCAAGAAATTCCTCGGTAGGTGTGAATTCACAGGAGTGAGAAGGTATCTTTACATCTCTGATGACCTGCTCTAAGGAGCCCGGGTATAGTTCAGTTTCAGAAAGTACTAAAAGGACTTAACTGATACAAGCAATAGAGCCCAGGTGCAGGATCTTTCTCAATACCTTTTTTTATATGATTGGATATATAGTCCAATTAGTGCAAGCCCTTGAGATGACTAATATTTTACTAGTGTCAAACTTCCTTTTAAGCTTTTATTTAAAATATGCTAAGTATTCCAATAAATAAATACACATGGCACAAATAATACAAATGATGAGACATCTTGGAATGTGGTGACATAGTAGTATTCTATTCTATGTTGAGGCATTCTAATCCAGAATCTGAAAATAAAAGAACAGGTTATTCAATATGTAAACATTACTTTTTAAACACTTTTCAAATTATTATATACCTCCTTTTCACTGTCTCGTAAATTCACATCAAATCTAGCTTAATACAGTATCTCTCTAACCAATATTTTTCCTAACATAGAGGCATTGTCAAAAGAGGAAAAAACAAAAGGCAGGTAACTAATTCAATGAATAGTTCCAAGTACTGGTACTGGTAGAACACCTTTTCTATACTTTGTGTACACGTTGAGGCTAAAAATATTAAGGGAATGAACAGGAAGAAGATTATGTAAGCACAAAATATATGCATATACAGGTAATATATACACACCCATTTGAAACAAAATAAGATTATTCCCTGTAAATATTAAAAAGCTTTCTGAGACTATGAGGTAGTGATAGCAATGAACACAAGACTACATGTTCAAGCTGTGAATTTATGAAACAGATATCACATGTAAGAATTTTAAAGAAACTGAAAAATATGTTTTTTGGCTATTGGTGCTCTATTTTTTTCCAGGCTGCTGCTGACAATTACCACCATCAGTTTATAATTTTATAAACTGCCACTTTATAATTGCTAAGCATGAGAAGTTGTCCTTAACATTCTCCTCCCCAGGTTGGTTGAGAAAACCAAAGCTATCAAGGCTAAGTGAGGGCATGTCTGGTTATCACACCCGAATCTCAGAGCTTGAACTGGCTTGCCCAGGAGTCTGGGAGAACAGCTTTGCTGATTTGACAATACATAAGAAAACCTTCCAGAAATTACAATGTAAAAGTAAGTTTTATTGTACCTGATTGATGGATCTCAAATACCTGCTAAGTTTAATAGTCAGACAGACATGTCTAAAATGGATTTTGAAAGTCTGGCTATCAGCACTTTCAAACGGATCAAATTACAAACAAGACACAAAATTTTCAGGTTGGCCAGTTTGCTAACTAAGGTTTTGAAGTTAATTGAAATTTTTAAGTTAACTAATTTCTCTCTCCCTCCTTCCCTCTGTTCCTCCTTTCCTCTCTTCTTTCCTCTTTTTCTTTTTCTTTTCTTTTCTTTTCTTTTATTATTATTAATTTTTACTATAAGTTCTGGGATACATGTAAGAACATGCAGGTTTGTTACATAGGTATACAGGTGCCCTGGTGGTTTGCTGCACCAATCAACCCGTCATCTACATCACGTATTTCTCCTAACACTATCCCTCCCTTTGCCCCTCACCCTTTGGCAGTCCCCGGTGTGTGATGTTCCCCTCCTTTTGCCCATATGTTCTCATTGTTCAACTTCCACTTAGGAGTGAGAACATGCAGTGTTTGGTTTTATGTTCCTGTGTTAGTTTGCTGAGAATGATGGTTTCCAGCTTCATCCATGTCCCTGCAAAGGACATGAACTCATTCTTTTTCATGACTGCATAGTATTCCATGGTGTATATATACCACATTTTCTTTATCCAATCTAACAGTAATGGGCTTTAACATTAAACATTAAAGTAAACATTAAACATTAAAGTAAACATTAAACATTAAAGTAAACATTAAACATTAAAGTAAACATTAAAGTAACAGTCTTTGCTTTTGTGAACAGTGCTGCAGTAAACATACTTGTGCATGTGTCTTTATAGTAGAATGATTTCTAATACTTTGGGTATATACCCAGTAATGGGATTGCTGGGTCAATGGTATTTCAAGCTCTAGATCTTTGAGGAATCAATACACTGTCTTCCATAATGGTTGGACTAATTTACACTACCACCAACAGTGTAAAAACGTTCCTATTTCTCCACATCTTCTCCAGAATCTGTTGTTTCCTGACTTCTTAATGATCACCATTCTAAGTGGCGTGAGATGGTATCTCACTGTGGTTTTGATTTGCATTTCTCTAATGACCAGTGATTATGAGCTTTTTTTTAAATATGTTTGTTGGTCACATAAATGTCTTCTTTTCAGAAGTGTCACTTGATATCTTTTGCCCACTTTTTGATGGGGTTGCTTGTTTTTTTCTTGTAAATTTATAGATTCTGGATATTAGCCCTTTGTCAGATGGATAGATTGCAAAAATTTTCTCCCATTCTGCAGGTTGCCTGTTCACTTTGATGATAGTTTCTTTTGCTGTGCAGAAGCTCTTTAGTTTAACTAGATCCCATCTGTCAATTTTGGCTTTTGTTGCCATTGTTTTTGGTATTTTAGTCATGAAGTCTTTGCTCATGCCTATGACCTGAATGGTATTGCCTAGGTTTTCTTCTAGTGTTTTTATGGTTTTAGGTCTTACATTTAAATATTTAATCCATCTTGAATTAATTTTGTATGAGGTGTAAGGAAGGGATCCAGTTTCAGTTTTCTGTATATGGCTAGCCATTTTTCCCAGCACCGTTTATTAAATAGGGAATCCTTTCCCCATTTCTTGTTTTTGTTAGGTTTGTCAAAGATCAGATGGTTGTAGATATGTGGCATTATTTCTGAGGCCTCTGTTCTGTTCCGTTGGTCTATATATCTGTTTTGGTACCAGTATCATGCTGTATTGGTTACTCTAGCCTTGTACTATAGTTTGAAGTCAGGTAGAGTGATGCTTCCAACTTTGTTCTTTTTGCTTAGGATTGTCTTGGGTATGTGGGCTCTTTTTTGGTTCCATGTGTGAGATTTAAAGTAGTTTTTTCTAATTCTGTGAAGAAAGTCAATGGTAGCTTAATGGGAATAGCATTGAATCTATAAATTATTTTGGGCAGCATGGCCACTTTCATGATATTGATTCTTCCTACCCATGAGCATGGAATGTTTTCCCATTTGTTTGTGTCCTCTCTTATTTCCTTGAGCAGTGGTTTGTAGTTCTCCTTGAAGAGGCCCTTCACATCTCCTGTAAATTGTATTCCTAGATATTTTATTCTCTTTGTAGCAATTGTGAATGTGAGTTCACTTATGATTTGGCTCTCAGTTTGTCTATTATTGGTGTAAAGGAGTGCTTGTAATGTTTGCTCATTGATTTTGTATCCTGAGACTTTGCTGAAGTTGCTTATCAGCTTAAGTTTTTGGGCTGAGATGATGGGGTTTTCTAAATATACAATCATGTTATCTGCAAACGGAGACAATTTGACTTCCTCTCTTCATATTTGAATACCCTTTATTTCTTTCTCTTTTCTGATTCCCTGGCCAGAACTTCCAATACTATGTTGAATAGGAGTGGTGAGAAAGGGCATCCTCGTCTTGTGCCTTTTTCAAAGGGAATGCTTCTATCTTTTGCCCATTCAGTATGATATTGGCAGTGGGTTTGTCATAAATAGCCTTATTATTTTGAGATACATTCCATCGATACCTAGTTTATGGAGTGTTTTTAGCATGAAGGGGTGTTAAATTTTATTGAAGGCCTTTTCCGCATCTATTGAGATTATCATGTGGTTTTTGTCATTGGTTCTGTTTATGTGATGGATTGTGTTTATTGCTTTGCCTATGTTGAACCATGCTTGCATCCCAGGGATGAAGCCAACTTGATTGTGGTGGATAAGCTTTTTATTGTGCTGCAGGGTTCGGTTTAGCAATATTTTATTGAGGATTTTCACATCAATGTTCATCAGGATGTTGGCCTGAAATTTTCTTTTTTTGTTGTGTTTCTGCCAGGTTTTGCTATCATGATGATGCTGGCCTCATAAAATGAGTTAGGGAGGATTCCCTCTTTTTCTATTGTTTGGAATAGTTTCAGAAGGAATGGTACCAGCTCCGCTTTCTACCTCTGGTAGAATTCGGTTGTGAATGTGTCTGGTCCTGGACATTTTTGGTTGGTAGTCCATTAATTACTGCCTCAATTTCAGAGCTTGTTATTGGTCTACTCAGGGATTTGACTTCTTTCTGGTGTAGTTTTGAGAGGGTGTATGTGTCCAGGAATTTATCCATTTCTTCTAGATTTTCTAGCTTATTTGTGTACAGGTGTTTATAATATTCTCTGATATTGGTTTGTATTTCTGTGGGATCATTGGTGATCTCCCCTTTATCATTTTTTACTGTGTCTATTTGACTTTTCTATCTTTTCTTTATTAGTCTGGATAGCAGGCTATCTATTTTGTTAATCTTCTCAGAAAACAAGCTCCTGGATTCACTGATTTTTTTGAAGGGTTTTTCATGTCTCTATCTCCTTCAGTTCTGCTCTGATGTTAGTTATTTCTTGTCTTCTGCTAGCTTTCGAATTTGTTTGGTCTTGCTTCTCCAGTTCTTTTAATTGTAATAGGGTGTCAATTTTAGATTCTTCCTGCTTTCCCCTGTGGGCATTTATTGCTATAAATTTCCCTCTAAACACTGCTTTACCTGTGTCCCAGGGATTCTGATACGTTGTGGCTTTGTTCTCATTGGTTTCAAATAACTTATTTATTTCTGCCTTAATTTTGTTATTTGCCCAGTAGTCATTCAGGAGCAGGTTGTTCAGTTTCCATGTAGTTGTATGGTTTTCAGTGAGTTTCTTAATCCTGAGTTCTAATTTAATTGAACTGTGGTCTGAGATACTGTTTATTATGATTTCCTTTCTTTTGCATTTGCTGAGGAGGGTTTTACTTCAAATTATGTTGTCAATTTTAGAATAAGTGCTGTGTGGTGCTGAGAAGAATGTCTATTCTCTTGATTTGGGGTGGAGAGTTCTGTAGATGTCATTATGTCCACTTCCTTTTTATTTTCAAGTTTATAATTAGTGCTAGGAAGAAAACTGAGCTCCATACATAGATTCATCTCTTCTTAATTTTGTGTCTTTTCTTGGCAAGTTTTGTCTTATGTAATACCTAATAATTTACCATTGAGATCTTCCAGTCTCAAAGGGCTTTTCACAGAACACGTTTTCCATCAGTGCAGATTTCTAGCTGGTGGGTTTTACAATTGGACAGTGAAAATCTCTTAAGGAACTGAATCTTCACATTAATGTGGAGGTGATGCTGGGAGCTTATCACTGGGCTTTTGAGTTATATCACTGGCAATTTGTTGTAAGCACTTTCTCACTTAAGCTCAGGGCATATTCTTTTAGGAAAATCATTTAATCAAGTAGTGAAGCATGGTAGAAAAATAGCATGTTATATTCAGAAAACCATGTAAACCTCATTTAGTCAATTTCTGTACTCCAGATATGAATCCTTTTAAAAGAGCATTGAATATTAATAGCTAATACTTTGTTTGGATATCTCCACCGAATTCCTATAGATGACCAGGATTCTATTTTCAATAGCATGTTTGACAGAAGAAAAGAAAAATAGTTTATTAACTAAATTCTCAAATCTAATTTGCAGTGTATAATCAATAAGTTGTTTTGAAACATTGTGCATATAAAAGTGTATTCTTTGCACTTTTAACTTTTAAGAATTAATATTTAATTAGGTTATGCTGATTACCTTCAGAATAATTTTAGAGAAACACAAGTTTTTTTCTCGTAATAATATATTTCTTACTAATACTATTTGGAGGTGTGTTTTACAATTTTCAGGATACATTCTCAACATGTTCTCATTATAGAGAAAAATATTTTTTAAAAATCAGGATGGTATTTTTTTCCAATTACTTGTTTTTTTCCATTTCTATTTTCCCCTTTGCTTTTTTAAAATTTCAACTTTTATTTTGGATGCAAAAGATATATGTGCAGGTTTGTTACATGAGTATATTGCATGATGCTGAGGTTTGAAGTATGAATGACCCCGTCATTCAGGTAGTGAACATAATATCCAATAGATAGTTTTTCAACCCTTGTTTCCCTCCCTCCTTTTCCTCTCTAGTAGTCCCCATTGTCTGTTTTCTGACAGGATAGTATAATGTTAAATGCCTGCTTCTATATCTTGACTTCTTATGTATTCATTTCATGATTCTTTTTGGCAAGTTACTTGACCTCCCTATACTTCATCTATAAAGTAGAGAAAATATTACTTACCTAATGCCATTAATGTGAGAATTAATTTATGTATACTGAATATATTATAATTATATTACAACAATGCCCGGGATATATTAAACTCTTACTAACCCAGGTAGTATCTTCTCCATTTAGTTTATCAAGTGGAAGAGAGCTAATCTGGGGTCAGCTTGTCTTTTTATAACTACATGCTGATATTTGATGATGATGATAATGATGTTAATACCTTTCAATTTTGTTTGGTTAGAAGTAGTAGATCTTAAAAATATGTTCGGAACTGATATACACACATATCTTGAAAGAAGGAATGAAAGGAAAGATTTCATCATTGTGGGATTTGAAGAGGCAGAAGCAATGAATTAGACTGAAATTACTAAATAAAGCTCAAACCCTTAAGCAATACTACATTAGGTAAATGAAAGCATGAATGTGACTTACCCATATTTATAACAATGGTACAATATTTATACATTGTATATCTGGGTGGGCCAGCGAATACTTCTTGAAAGTAACACAAGAAGAATCATAATGATTAACTGTGATGGTTAATACTGAGTGTCAACTTGATTGGATTGAAGGATGCAATATTAATCCTAGGTGTGTCTGTGTGGGTGTTGCCAAAAGAGATTAACATTTGAGTCAGTGGGCTGAGAAAGGCGCATCCACCCTTAATCTGGTGGGTAATATCTAATCAGCTCCCAGCGAATATAAAGCAGGCAGAAAAACATGAAAGGAGTGATGGGCCTAACTTCCCAACCTACATCTTTCTCCCGTGCTGGATGCTTTCTGCCCTCAAACATCGGACTCCAAGTTCTTAAGTTTTGGGACTCAGACTGGCTGTCCTTGCTCCTCAGCTTGCAGCCTATTGAGTGACCTTGTGATCATGTAAGATAATACTTAATAAACTCATATATATATAGGACAGAACTAATAGGATATCTATCTATCTATCTATCTATATAGATATATATATACACACACACATATATATATTAAAACATAGGATATTAGAGAACCCTGACTAATACATTAACTAAGAAGGATACACAGCTATAAAAAGCAAGAGCATTCTAAGCAAAGTCAATACCAATCCAAAATTGTGCCAAGAAAGATGGTAGATCTTTCTAGAAATGAAGAGTAGTTTGTGAGAGTAGGGATGCATTTGGGGAGAAGGTTTAAATTGGAAAGGAAAATTAATGGGTCTCAGGTCCTGAATGTCTGATACATCGTGGTGCAAATTTTATCCTGAAGCGAGCAGTGATTAAATGATTTACAGTAAGGAATCGCTGATAATGTTTGCTTTTTCGGAATATCACTGTTAAAGAAATTTGAAGTGTATGATACTAGTGACAGGGAAACTAGGAAATAGTTGCGGTAATCCAAATAACAAATGAAAAGAGTCTGAGCCAGATTTGTTGGACAACTGAATTCAGAGAACAATGAAAGCTTGTATTCTAAAAATATATTTAAAATAATTAAAATAATTAACATTAGGCCAGGCGTGGTGGCTCACACCTGTAATCCCAACTCTTTGGGAGGCCAAGGTGGGTGGATCATTTGAGGTCAGGATTTCGAGACCAGCCTGGCCAAGATGGTAAAACCCTGTCTCTACTAAAATACAAAAATTAGCCAGGCAGTAGTGGTGCACGCCTGTAATCCCAGCCACTCCGGAGGCTGAGGCAGGAGGATCGCTTGAGTCTGGGAGGTGGAGGTTGCAGTGAGCCAAGATTGTGCCACTCCACTCCAGTCTGGGTGACAGAGTGAGTCCTTACCTTAATTAATTAATTAAAAAATAATTAATTAACATTAATATTAACAATATTTATAGGTTAGGTTAACTTGTACTTTAAAAATAAACAGTAAAGATTTTACATTGAAAAAGTACACACCTAGAGAGTAAGTTCACACAAATCTGGTTGAAAAGTTATGTTTTTAAGCTGGATTTTGCTCTCATGCTAATCAGTTTTGTGTCATATTGCTGTTTTTTATTAAAATTGTCATGTTTTTCTTTAATCTGTTTATGGACTTACAGAGGGGGGCTCATTTGCTTACTCTTGATGCTCTTAAAGGGTAAACAAAGCTCCATGTTGAAGAATTGTAGTGCCCATGGGGATATTCTTTACATAATACTTGGTTGCAAAATACTATCTCAGTTTAAATAGGACCACAGCAACCGCTAAAATGTGAAAGAACAACCAGCAATCCACATTCCATAGAGAGTCCAGGAAGGCTGTCTCTGGAACCACAGAAGGTGCTTAAACTCAGTCACCAAACCAAAATTGAAACAGATGCAGATGTAGGTTTGCCAGGGTCAATTCTTGAATCCTGAGAGCTTGTCAGAACCTTCCATTTACACAAGACTAGAGAAGAAAACAGGAATGACTGGATTTAAAAAAGACTAAAGGCCTTAACATCATGAGCTTCTTTTAATGGCCAGAACTGCAAATCACAGACTGCACATCACAGGATGATTGCCTTGCACTGTCAATTTGTAAGTTCTAATAGTACAATAAAGTTTTTCAGTGTTTTGTAACTCTTTTTAAAGGGAATTTACAAATATTTCATGAGCATAATTCCTTTGGAATGTAATACTCTTAGCAAAGCAGCTACTGTTTAATCTTTTTCAATCCTTGTGCAAAACTTTATAGATACACGTGAAACTCTTCGGCAGGCTGTCTGAGCTCTTGCCCTCTCAGAAAATGTGTAGAAGTTTTTCTTTAAAGTTGCACTTGCTGTTTTATTGAAGGAAAAACATCATAGACCCATACTTTCTGAACTATTTTTGAACTTTTGGTCACATTGGCCAAAGACCAAAAGCTTCAGGGACTTTTTTTTTTCTGGAAATGAAAGAGGCAAATTGCTAGAGTATGAGAAAAATTTAAAGACACTGAATAAGCAGTAATAATGTTGTTTAGGCAATATATAAAAAAGGAAGGGAGAAAAACCTGATTCGTTTTATCCTGGTATCCTAAAATCTTTATTGAGAATTTAAATTTAGATGATTCCTATTTATGAAGTGTTTATTGTGTGCCTTTATTGCAAGACTTTGTAGATATACTGCATAACTTATTTTCCACTAATCATTTTCATGAGTGTACAGAATAGAGTGGATAAATACATACCCATGATTACACAGCTACAAATATAAAGAGTGGAATTCGACACTAGGTCAGTCAAATGCCATAATATATTTATAGATAATGCAGTCAATATTGATTATCCAAATAATATTAATATAAGACAGTATGGTGGTGTAAGAAGAGAAGAATATAATACACAGTTGTGTGGATGATGATCTTGCCTTTGGAGCAATGCATATTTAAACAACTGTTATACTATGTTGAAGTGCCATTAAAAAACAACCAAAACAATGTTTAGATAAAATGTTTTAGACATTCAGAAGAGGGAAATGTGTCATTAGCATAGATGACAAATGAACTAGTCCCTAAAATATATTTAGCTTGTGAAAATGTGGATATCTGGAGGAAGGCTTCTCTAGGTGGAAAGATAATAATTATACAGAATCTTAGGTCTGGGAAATAGTATGGCATGTGTGGTGAATAGAGTTAGTTAGATTTGACCAGAGGAGAAGATGCATGGTGAGTGGAAATAAGATACAAAGTAGATTGAGCAAGATTGCAAAGGGCCTTCAGAGTCAAGGAAAGAAGTGTAGAATTCCTTCACAGGCCATTATGGCATTAAAGGTTTATGAGTCATATTATTACTTTCCTGTGGTGTAGTTACAGATATATTATCTATAAATTGTTCCTTTGAAACCATTCCTAGGAATTGTATTCTTTGATTCTTTTTCAAATCAACTTGTATGCAGAACCACCATTTATACAATAAAAAGTTTTAAGTGCCTCTTTTGAATGAATACTTGTTTGCCTCTAAGAAACACACTTTGGAAAGAAAGCCTTTGATATGGGACATATATTGTTTTCCTTGTGTTTCAGAGTATGGGGTACTGAAGCAGAAAAGGATGCCCTTCAATTTGATAGAAAAGCACTACATGAATCCCTGTAAGACTCCACAAATTAAACTAGGAGCTGTGTCAACCTGCTCTCTGTTTTACATCCATGTGGGAGGGTCTACGAGCACTCATGTGGACAGTAAGTGGGGGTCAAGTGCAGTCAGTACACCCTGCTGTTGGCAAGTGCCCAGAATAGCAGATGTTCCTTTGTATAAGGATGAGCAAACAGGAAAAAATCAACATGAGATCTATAAAAATTCTGCACCATAAAGAACCAAAGAGTATTACCCTGAAAAAGAATTGCAAAAATAAATCCTACTTCTAAAGATCACTTTCTAAACCAAGTAGAAAACTG
The DNA here is from genome assembly GCF_000001405.40 of Homo sapiens. Lineage (NCBI taxonomy): Eukaryota > Metazoa > Chordata > Mammalia > Primates > Hominidae > Homo > Homo sapiens. Next base: position 164,418,820 of record NC_000003.12, read on the forward strand.
GTCTGCTATGTTCATAGAAAGGTATTAAAAATGTGACCACTGATACAGCTGACATTTGTGTAGTGTTTACTATGTGCTACTTTTAAAACATACATACAAGTATGTATATATTTATAGAAATATATGAAGCTAGCATGTCACTAGTCTACAGCTTGATCATGTTTCTACAAACTGACTTATGTAATCAGAACCAGATAAATGGAACATTATCAGGCTCTACAAGTCTCTTTTGTCTTCCCTTTCTGTTGCTACTTATCCCTTCTACATGCTCACCAATGTAAATCACTCCTCTCCAACAGTGTAAATTAGCTTCATATGTTTTTACTTTTACATCACTTTTGTAAAGTGTAAGTTGAACTTTTTGCTCATTTTTTCCCTATTGGATTATCTGTCTTATGGATTTGCATAATCTTTTATAATGTACTGGTTACAAGTATGTTTGTTTGATGTGATGTATGTATTTTGAGTATCTTTACCACTCTTTGGGATGCCTTTTCACTCTTTTACTGGCCACTTTTGGTAATCCTAATTTCTTAATCTTAATATATCTGATTTATCTCTTTCTGTTTTTTGTTCACACTAGGTGTCTCTGTGCATCTGTTTAAGAAATTTTTGCCTACACTGAAGTCACAAGAATGCTCTCCAATGTGTTCTTTAAAAAGTCTTATAGCTTTACTTTTAACATTTAGACCCGTGATAAGTTTGGAATTATTTTGTGTTTACAGTGTTAGATAGGGTTATCTAACTAACACAATCATTTTTTGAAAATATTTCTGTACATGACTTTACTCTTGCCTTTGTAATAAATCATTTGATTATATAGGTATGAGTCTGCCTCTGGAATCTATTTTGTTCTATTGGTCAGTGTCTATTGTTTTAACTACTTCACAGACATTAAGCACCTTTATCCTCACAATGACACAGAAATAATTATTATTAACCCCATATTATAATTAAGGAAACTGAGGCAGTGAGATGTTAAGTAACTTGGCCAAAGTCACATTGCTGAGGCAACAGCAAATCCAGTCTTTTAAGCTCTGGTAGAAAAAAATGCAACCTGAGCTATGGGTTGAAATGGGAAGAGAGTAGATTGAAGAAATGATTGTGAGAAAATAAAAACTCAATAGCAAAAAAAATTTACACACTAATAGTTGTGAAGTATAAAATTAAAATGGCATAAAACTCAGTGTTCTTTCAACTTCATCAATCTGTATTTCCATCTCAAGATAAACCTTATCCTTATCTTTTGAGACCTTAACTCACTCACCTATAGCATTTCTGTAGAGAAATTATATACTTTATATGGTCACCCTTGAAGGAGAGGTCAAATAAAATACTGAAAAGTAACTGTAGATATTAGCAAGATCAGTTTTAATGAGATTAGACTGAAGGCAGAAGTCAGATTTCCAGATATTTTAGGAGTTGATGAAAAGCAAAAAAAAAAAAAAAAAAAAAAAAAAAAAAAAGGAGACATTTAAAAATACCTGGCTATGAGGAGCATGAGGAAACTACAGTGTTTAGACGGAGCGATAGGTTAAAAAGTATATTTCTTTCTTTCTTTTTTTTTTTTTTTGAGACGAAGTCTTGCTCTGTTGCCCAGGCCTGGAGTGCAGTGGCCTGATCTCGGCTCACTGCAACCTCCGCCTCAGAGGTTCAAGCAATTCTCCTGCCTCAGCCTCCTGAGTACCTGAGACTACAGGTGCGTGCCACCACACCCAACTAATTTTTGTATTTTTAGTAGAGACAGGGTTTCACCACATTGGCTAGGATGGTCTCGATCCTTCACATTGTGATCCACCCGCCTCAGCCTCCCAAAGTGCTGGGATTACAGGCATGAGCCACCGAGCCCAGCCCGGTTAAAAAGCATATTTCTAAAATTATTTTGTGTTTTGTTCCTAAATACTTGGAAAGAAAAGCTGCTGATGCAGAAAAAGATGAAACAATAGGGGATACTTATATCTGCAAATTCTATGTAGCTACTTTATGCCATTGGTGCTGATTCGGAAAAAGATGAAACAATAGGGGATACTTATATCTGCAAATTCTATGTAGCTACTTTACGCCATTTGTGCTGTCTGGGGAGTAAAGAAACAAAATCATAGGTCACTTAAATTTTTTACGTTTAAATGAGACAGACTTTAATGATAAAAAGAAAACAGAAATCAGTTTCTGAATTATTTAGAAATATCACAGGAGATGAAACTGCTTAATAGTTTCCACTGTGTGGATAATGCATCATGATCAATAAATAAATACTACCCTTACCTTAAGAGCAAATATAGGGATGCATTATTGAAGAGGATTAAAATTGGTTGCCTTCATTATTCCTGCAAATTTAATGGTATGTGTATGGCTTAGAAGCCATACTTAAATTTTAATATGGCTCATTTTAATTGGACGAAAGACTAGTCAAAAAGAATTTTTATACAGTTGCTCTTCAGAGACTTTATTAGTTTTAACCAGGGAAGTTTCTCTCATTTTGCATACTGAGAACTCCAGACTTGCTTTGGATCCACAAAGAATTTGGGCTTTTTGGAGGAAAGTAGTGAAGAGAACAAGCCTCTCAGGAAGTAGATGTTTAGATTCAGGTCACCCAATATTAGAAGAAAAGATAGGTTCCATTCATCTTTGCCATTTATTTTGAAACAATTTTAATTTGGAAATATTTCAATTCATGAGAATTAACATAATAGCTGCTTAGTAGTCACTACTGAGATTAAATAAACTAAACATAGGCTTAGATCTGTCTTACTTTATTTTTTGTTGTTAACAATTATCAGTATCACCAAAATCCTATCCTAATCCCATTACCCTCCATCCCCCAAAATAACCATCTTGATCCCTTTACCCTCCACCCCCAAAAATAACCATTCTCCTGAAGTTTGAAGTTTGTGTATATTAGTCTTATGTATTTTAGAAGTATTTGGCCCTTACATGTACATTCATATAAGAACACACTGCATTATTTTCTATTTTATTTGAATGATTTCATACTATTAACAAACTTTTGCAAGTTTTCTCTCTGTGTTATATATTTTTAGTTTGATTCATGCAAAAATACATAAATTTAGTTATCTATGGAAATAATTTTATTATTGGAATAAAATGTAATTTATTACTGTAATCAGTCTATGTGTACTTTCAACATTAAATAGTAAAACGGTGAATCTCCTGAATCATTTATTCTTTTTCTCTTGTGCTAGAGTATCTCTAGGATGAAAACTTTAAAAGGAAATTGATTTAATAATTTCCACTTCTACCAAAATATATAAGCTGTCCCATTTGCTGAATGTCCTTAGAAGCACTTAATACTATCAGATGCTAATTTTTGACAATATGATAGTTCCAAAAAGTCAAAATGCAGAATGATGGTTGTTTTGGATTTTTTTCATATTTCATTTTTAATTTTTTTTTTACTCCTCAGTTTGAGATACATGTCCTTTTTTTTTTTTTAATAAAGGTAAGTTACACATCATGGAGGTTTGGTATACAGGTTGTTTAGTCAACCAGGTAATAAATGTAGTACTTGATAGGTAGACTTTGATTGTCACTCTCTTTGCATTCTTCATCCTCAACTAGGCCCCAGTGTCTTTTGTTTCCTTCTTTGTATCTATATGTATTTGATATTTAGCTCCCACTTAAAAGTGAGAAAATTAGATATTCAGGTTTCTGATCCTGTGTTACGTCACTTAGTATGATAACCATCAGCTCTTCATGTTGCTGCAAAGGACATGATCTCGTACTTTTTTATTGCAGCGTAGTATTTCATGATTGATTTGTATTTCTCTGATTATTAGTGTAACTAACCATCTTTTCACAGTTTTATGGCTGGCCCATTTGTTGATGGTAGTGTACGTGTGTGTGTGTGTGTGTGCGTGTGAGAGAGAGCGAGAGAGAATTTCCTGTTGATAGGCTTTCCCATTTTCATTTTTTTAATGTTTCATTTGTCCTGACTGGTTATTGTTGCTTTCAGAATTAAAACAAAAGCATTATTATATGTTCTAGATAGCAATATTGCTTTTGTTATTAAAACGTAAATATATGTTCTCAGTTTGTAGCATGTTTTATTTCTTTTTTTATTAAAGTGTTAATATATTTTCCCAGTTTGTAGCATGTTACAAAACTAAAGATGCTTTTGTATTTTAATGTGACAATATTTATAATCATTTTCTGTAGGTTTTTGCTTTTTGTCACAATATTTAAAAATCTTTTCTACACCAATGTAATAGGAATTATCATGATCATCTAATAATTTTACATTTTTAATTTTTCCTATGCTTAAGTGTTTTTGTATGTATAGTTTAAGCTAGAAATGTTTTCTCCTATTTTGATATGCAGTTGTTGTAATGCCATTGTACCTTATCTTTTGTGTTAATGCATCTCTTTGTAATTTGTTTTATTCCACACAAAAATATTTGAGTACCTACTGTATTCAATACACAGTGCTAACTGGTAGAGAGGAGAAATAAATATGAACGCTACATGGTTGAAAATCAGTTTTTACAAAATTTTCTGAGCCCAGTGATGACTTGGATGGTATGATAGAATGCGTGGTGGTGGGAAAGTGTATTTTCAGTTTCTGCTTCAAATTTTTATTACCTGCATTTTCAGCCCCCATAAACAAAGCTTAAAACAATCTCAGAATATTTTATCATAATTAAATTTTTTTCAAAATGATTTTTAGCTAATTTCCAGGAAATCAATATGCCTGGAATATTTACAGTTTCAATTTCTTTCAATTTCAAATACATTTGGAAATTCATCATACTTTCTTTCTTGAAGATCTTTGATCTCTAGGCATAACCATTATGCTAGTATCCTTTTCCATTGGTTGGAAAATAATTACTCCTGATGTCTCATCCTCACCTTAATTTCACACTTTAAACACTTTATTTCCCTTGAATAAGAAGTCATTTCTCTACTATCTTATATTAAAAAATAGATTTCACTATTTTCCTTCTCAAATTTTTGAAAACACATCATACATACCTCCCTCTCCTTCATCTTCCAAATTTAGTTACCCCACTTACCACTCTAACTACCATGTATCATGCATGCATTGCATTCTTTCTATAGCTTTCTAGGGGGTACTGAAATAGTCCTCAGGATGTACATTCCCTCTGTAATCTTATTCTTATCTCATGTTTCCTGTTATCACTGCCAAATTAATATTCCTAAAACTTTTACTTGATCATTTAAATATAATGTTTAACAAATGAAATTTATATCAAATATATAGCAAACATTGTAATAAGTTATTCAGAAAGCTTTGAAACCTGGTCATTATTTAATTTTTCCACCGTATCTATTCTTCTTATTCTTCATCCACTAACCTACGCATAGTATTATATTCACTGCATTCTCCAAATATACTACTCTAAAATAATTTAAAGTCCTCTTCAAATATTACTTGCTTTATAATTTTTTTCCAATACTCTGGTTTACTCATGCTGGCCACCATGAATATTGTATAGTACTATAAGTGTTTAACTGTACATAGTACATATGAAATTTGAGAAGGAAAATATTGAAATCTATTTTTTAAAATAAGATAGTACAGAAATGACTTCTTATTCAAGGGAAATAAAGTGTTTAAAGTGTGAAATTTAGGTGAGGATGAGACATCAGGAGTAATTATTTTCCAACCAATGGAAAAGGATACTAGCATAAGGGCTATGCCTAAGGATTCTCTTTCATATTTCTGGCACCTTCTTCTTGTACAAGGCATGAACATTCTTCTCTTTCTCATGTTTTCTTTTTTTCTTTTCTTTATTTTTTTAAACTGCTGCATCACTTGTAAACATTAAAATGTTTTCACGAGATGCATTTACAAAACAAATCCACCAACAATAAAAACAAATACATGCAGGACAGGCACAGTGTCTCACGCCTGTAATCCCAGCACTTTGAGAGGCCAAGGTCCGCGGATCGCTTGAGGTCAGGAGTTTGAGACCAGCCTGGCTAACATTGCGAAGCCCCGTCCCTACTAAAAATACAAAAAAAAGCTGGTCATGGTGACATGCGCCTGTAATCCCAGCTACTCGGGAGGCTGAGGCAGGAGAATCGCTTGAACCTGGGAGGCAGAGGTTGCAGTGAGCCAAGATAGTGCCATTGCATTCTAGCCTGGACGAGAGAGCGAAACTTGTCTCAAAAAAGAAAAAAAAAAAAAAAAAAGAATAAGAAAAGAAAAGAAACACATGTAGACCAAGTGAATATAGCCTCAATATGCACAGTGCTTTTTACAAGTATTTTAAATTAACTTACTGTAATTAACCATATTAATAAAATAAGAGAAAATAATGCAATCCTCTCCATGATGATAGGAAAGGTATTTGCAGAATTCAGCATTGCTTTTTAATAAAACTTTCAAAAAAGAGAGAAAGCATTTTGCAATTTAGAAAAGGACACTTTTGAAACAACTTCAACTGGCATCATACACATTAGTGAATATCTGATTTTTTTCCTCTAAAATTTGGAATAAGATAAGGATTTCTGTTTTCATTATTCTAATCAGCATTTTACTTGACTTCCATCCCAGTATAATAAGGGAACAAAAAGAATAAAAGACTTAAATATTGAATTGGACTGGATTGTTTATTGCTTTTTCCTTAAAAAGTAAAACCGTATTTATTCATAGAAAACATTGTTTATTACAAATATCTTGAGTAATTTACAAAAAATCCTAAAATCAACAAGTGAATTTTGTAATATAAGTATAAAAATTGGCATACAAAAATACATTGTACTTCTAATACTAACAATAAACAAATAGAAAATTATTTTTAAAAATAGGACCACTTACAGAAGCATCAAAAATATTAAGTATTCAAAAATATAGGTAAGAAAATATTTCCACTGCACTTATATTGAATTATTTCACTTATGTGTTTTTGTTTATTTGCTTATTTTTAAATGTGGGAAATGGCTTTAAACTGCCCTGGACGCATGCAGAAATTTTCTCTTCCTTGCTTTCAATGCACTTTTTAATTTAATTTAATTTAATTTCTCATAAGTTATTGGGGTACAGGTGGTATTTGGTTGTATGAGTAAGTTCTTTGGTGGTGATTTGTGAGATCCTGGTGCACCCATCACCCAAGCAGTATACATTGCGCCATATTTGTAGTCTTTTAACCCCCTCCCCCCTCCCACTCTTCCCCCTAAGTCCCCAAAGTCCATTGTATCATTCTTATGCCTTTGCATCCTCATAGCTTAGAAAACTTATGTTTTTAAAAACAGAAAAAATTAATCTCTGTGTATGTTTTTCTTTCATTGAAATGCCAGTTTATAATCTCTGTCAATATATTTTTATAATATTTTAAATTAATTTTTGAAATAAATATTGTCAAGGAATGACTGAGATCTTTGCTAGGTGGGTCTAGAATTGATTTACTCTTAAAGAACACTCTCTATATATAACTACACTACATCTTCCGCTACAGCTACAGCTACATCTAGAGCTACATCTGTATCTACTATATATGCAAATATAATTTATTTTCATTTGCTAAATTATTGACTAAATTAAATTATCCTCAACTATATTTTCTCTGTTGTAATTATTAATGTCATGAAATATCTATTTTAAATAGTTAGAGCTTCTTCACATAATTAAACAGCATGATATTATTTATTGTCAGTGTGGACTCAACCATTAATAGCTACAATTACAAACTTACATTCTCCTAGAATTAGCTTTTATATTTCTCATTTTTATTATATTTAAATTACATTCAAAAGAGTAATCAACAAATCATTACATACTGCATGTTGATTATAGTCTATTTTAAGTCCTTGGTGTATAGTTTAGTTAGGTTTTGGGAGTATATGATTAATTAAGATACAAGCCATGTTTTGTAACTTCTTTAGTATAGGCAAGTATTTTAGAATTTGAGACAAAAGCAAACATTTTACCTGAAACATTGGCTTACTATTTCTCTATGGTTTTAATAACTTGATTTCAGAGGTCAAAGGCAATACAAATAAATATTTACAAACAATTGATATTTGTAACAACTTTTTGTATGTTTCTCTAACATTGCCTTGGAAAATTTATATACCTGCATTTCTAACAGTTTTAACATTAGTAACATGTGCTTTCCATTGTGGTGGTAGGACACCTGTTCATATTCTGGATGTTATCATTACCAGCAGCAGTTGCACATCTTCCAGAGTTATGAATTAAATCACTCCCTGTCCAACCACAATTTCTGATCCTTCCAGCTCATTCATGCATTTAGACCCGTGATCAAGATTCCCTTGTTTCTGGTGCTCTTCTGTTTTCATATCCCTCATTCTTGCTTATGTAGGTTAAAGGCATGCATCAATATACATTACAAATATTTATTTCTCTTTGCCTGTAGTCTCTCAAAGCATTGCACCTTCATGGAAAGAATACAAATTGTCAATGATAGGTGTACTCAAACACACATTTTCTTTGACTTTTCTTATACAACTAAACATAGTGGAAGCAAGGCACAAACTTTTTCCAACTGATGTAATTATAAGTTAATGGCTGTCAACTGCAAAGGAATTCTTAAATTATCCTAGGCCACATGGCATTGGGATGAGGAGAAAGGCAGAATCCTTCATGAGATACTGGAGACTGATTGGAGTAAGAGGACTATACATACTAGAGTTTGCAGTAGCCCAGTACAGAGTCCTTGTGGAGTACGGAGGGCATTTTGATGAGGAAACAAATTAATATAAAGTGTTGAAGTCAAACCAGCGTGAGGAGGGCATACATCAAGAATGATGGCTTTTATGGCAGGTGTCAGATCAGAGCCATAAGGAGGTAAAGACCACCTGCATATGGGGTGAGCAGAGGTCCTGTGGGAATACTGGAGCCAAGCAATATAACCCCTCCATATTTATTCTAGTTTCCTCCATCTTCAAATCTATCACTCCCTCTGTGGTAAAGAAAAATTTAGCTCCCAGTTTCTTCCAAATTTGTATATATTTCATCAATTTGTTAGTATGGATTAAATCTCTTGTAGTGAATAGAGGGTGAAGAGGGGTTTACAGAAAATCAAGAAAGTGGAAAAAATACAATGACTACCGAGGTGTTGTGTTGGAGATAATATCACCCACTCACACTTCTACAGTTAAGAAATGCTATCGCTCAAATACCAATTACCTTACATTTAATTTATCGTGACATGATCCAGAGAAATAATTGCTACAATATGTAGACAAGAGTCTGAAAAAAATTACTTGACAGTCTTATGTATTAGTATACAGGAAGAAATGGTATACTTAGACTATTTATGGTTAGCCACAGCAGAATGTCTTCATTGATCATGAGATTTGTCTGATTCACTTTTTTTGCAAATTCATTTATTATAGCAACTTCATTTTCATTGATATAATTGAGAGCAGTATCAGTTACTTTTGGCAAACACAATATTGTAAATATTTTTTATTTCTATAGGGATTTTTCCAGTGATACAACTTTTACTGGAGTTAAGTTTACAGGCTGTGACAATGATGAAAAGAATTTTTGATACTACATATCTATACATCTATACATATATATATACACACACATATACACACACACACACATATATATATATACACACACACACACACATATACACAAGTGTATATTTTTGGAGACAGGTTCTGGCTCTGTCACCCTGGCCGGTTGTGCAGTGGTGCCATCTCTACTCACAGCAAATTCCACCTCCCGGACTCAAGCCATCCTCCCAGCTCAGACACCTGAATAGTTGGGACAACAGCTGCACACTACCATATTTGGCTAATTTTTGTATTATTTGTAGAGATGGGGTTTCCTCATGTTTTTCAGGCAGGTCCTGAACTCTTGAGCTCAAGCGATCCACCCACCTCAGCCTCCCAAAGTGCTGGGATTCCAAGGAATGAACCACCATGCCTGGCCAGAAATATAATTTTTAATATATCTAGAGCTGATAATTCTCACGGAACAATTTTTCTAAAAATATTTAACTCTTAGTTAAATATGCTTAGTGTGTCTAATTTCAATTTTTTATTTTTGAAAATTATTTTAATTTATGGATATGTGATAGATGTACATATTTTGTGGAACACGTGAGAATTTGATATACTCATAAATATTAAATCAAGGTAATCGGCATATCCAGCATCTTCAATAATTATTTTTTTCTCATGCTATGTACATTCAAATTATTTTCGTCTAGCTCTTTTGAGACGTACAATAGATTATAGTACACTATAGTTATCCTATTAATTTATCAAGCACTAGGTCTTATCTCTTCTGTCCATTTGTGTATTTGTACCCATTAGTCAGCCTTTCTTCATCATCTGTTTGCCATACACGTCCTAACCTCTGATAACCATCCATCTACTCTCTCTTCATGATGCCCACCTTCTTAGCTTCCACATATGAGTGAGAACTCATGAGATTTGTCTTTGTTTGCTTGCCTTATTTCGCTTAACATAGTGACCTCCAGTTACATCCATCCATCCACGTTGGTACAAATCAGATTTCATTCTTTTCTATGGCTGAATTATATTCCATTGTGTGTGTGAATAATATATATGTATATGTATATGCCTGCATACCACATTTTCTTTATCCATTCATTCATTGATGGGCACTTAGGTTGATTCCATATTTTTGCTATTGTGATTAGTGCTGCAATAAACATGAGAGTGTAGATATCTCTCTGATAAACTGATTTGCTTACTTTTAAATATATGCCCAGTAGTGGGATGCTGGATCATGTAATAGCTATATTTTTAGTTTTTTTGAGGAAGTTCTGTACTGTTTTTCATAGTGGCCGTACAGATTTACATTCCTAGCCACGGTGTATAGGGGTTCCCCTTTCTGTGCATCCTTGACAATATTTGTTATTCTCTGCCTTTTTGGTAAAATCAGTTTTAACTAGGGTGAGATGATATCTCATTGTGGTTTTGATATGCATTTCTCTGATGATTGGTGATGTTGAACATTTTTTATGTATACCTGCTTACTGTCTTGTTTTATATACCTATAGAGCTTGTCTTCTTTGGGAAATATCTGTTCAGATACTTTGTCCAGTTTTTAATGTGTTTTTTCTTTCTGAGTTATTTCTACTGTTTATTTTTTCTGATTATTAATCCCTTGTCAGATGGATAGTTTGACAATATGTTCTCCCATTCTGTTGGTTGTCTCTGCACTTATTGATAGTTTGTTTTCCTGTGCAAAAGATTTTTAGCATGATGTAACCCTATTTTTCTATTTTTGCCTTTATTGTTGGTGCTTTTTAAGGTCTCACCCCCCAAAAATCTTTACCCAGATCACTGTCCTGAAGCATTTTCCCCAATGTTTTCTTCTAGTAGTTTCAGGCCTTAGAGTTAATCCATTTTGATTTGATTTTTGTACATTGTGAGAAACAGGGTCTAGTTTATTCTTTCGCTTATGATTATCCAATTTTCCCAGCACCATTTATTGAAGATATGATCTTTCCTTACTGTATGTTCTTGGCATCTTTGTCAAAAATGAGTTGGCTGCAAATGCATAGATTTGTTTCCGGGTTCTCTATTCCTTTCTATTGGTCTATGTGTCTGTTTTTATGCTAATACCATGCTGATTAGGTTACTGTAGTTTGGTTACATACATTATATTATATGTAATTCCAGAATTCCATATGCATTACATGATATGTAATTCCAAAATTTCGTATTTTGAAGTCAGGTTGTTCTTTTCTCTCAGGATTGTTTTGGCTATGTGGTGTTTTTTTCTGGCTCCATATGAATGTTAGGATTTATTTTTTTCTATTTCTTGTGAAGAATGTCATGGGTATTTTGGTAAGAATTGCACTGGATTTGTAAATTGCCTCTGGTAGTATTGTCATTTTACAATATTAATTCATCTAAACCATGAGCATAAAATATATTTTAATTTGTTTGTTTCCTCTTCAATTTCCTTCATTGATGTTTTATAGTTTTTCTTATAGACAGTTTTCACTCTTTGGTTAAATTTATTGCTAAATATTTGATACTTTTTGTTACTATTGTAAATGGGACTGCTTTATTGATTTCTTTTTCAGATTGTTCATTCACTGTTGGTGTAAATAAATGCTAGTGATTTTTGTATGTTGATTTCATATCTTACAAGTTTATTGATTCTAACAGATTTTTTTCATGGAATCTTTAGGTTTTTCAAAATATAAAATTATTACAATTAAATTAATTAAAATTAGTTAAATTAAATTAAATGAAAACAAGGTTACTTCCATTTCTCCGTTTCCAATTTGAATGCCCTTTATTTGTTTTTCTTGCCTAAGTGCCCTGGCCAGGATTTCCAGTTTGAAGTTGAATAAAATTAGTAAAAGTTGACACCATTGTCTTCTTCCAAATCCTAAAAAAAAGACTTTCAATATTTTATCCATTCAGTACGATGTTGGCTATAGATTTGTAATATGGGATATTTATCTTTATGTATGTTTCTTCTGTATTCAATTTGTTGAGGGCTTTTATCATAAACAGATTTTGAATTTTGAACTTTTTTTCAACATCTATTAGAATGATCATATGGGTGTTGTTCTTTACTCTGTTCATGTGATGTTCTACTTTTATTGATTTAGAAATTGATTCATCCAAATATTCCTATAGTGTCATTTCTAAATAATTAACTGTAATGATTTTTAAATCTAATTTTTGTTTCTAAGCTTGTAATTTGGTTTGCTATGTTGGAGCAGTTTTCAAAACTAAAAATTCTAAACTCTTTAACGAATTCTAATAACTCCTTGATATGTTTATTACAATGTCCATGTTTATACTTTTATTTTATTATAATTTACTGATGAAGTTTACTGTCTAAACTGCTAATGTTTTGTCTAATATATCTCCTAAAAATGGACTATTGCTCTTACAGTCTATTGGCTTTACTTTTACTTTATTTTCTGTTTATAAGAATAACAATTACCTTGGAAAACTTCGGTCACCAATAAAACACAAAAAAGATGACTTCCTAGCTATAACCACTGCTAATATTTTGCATTAGATTCCATTACATGTATTTTCATATTTTATTTGGGATTATACACTATGTGTTTTCCATGTCATTAAATACTGTCTGAAAGCATGACTTTAATAGCTGCATAACATGTCATCAAATTGCTTTAAACCATTTGTATTCATTTCATTTTGGTTTCTTATACCACTTTGGCATCATGTGGGAAAAGGGAGATCTTTTGATTTGGTTTTCTGGTATCAGTTTCTCCATTTCTTCATTACTCCACTGCCTTATATTATTTTCAACTGTGGTTATGATAGGCAAAATTACAAGACGCCTCTCAAGGTTTCCACCCTTTAGTGTTCATGTCCTGTATAATCACCTCCCATTGAGTGGGAGTAGGGACAGTGAATATGATGAAATATCATTAATTAGCTAATTTTAAGTTAATTAGAGGGAGATTACCCTGGTTGGGTCTGACCTGGTTAGGCCTGACCCAATCAGATGAGCCATTATAAGAAGGCAAGGCTTGAGAGGGGCTCTCCTGCAGGTCTGAAGATGATGAAGCAAACTGCCATACTTTCAGGGATGTAAGGAACACATCAAGGAACTCTGGGTGGCCTCTGGAAGCTGAGAGGGGCTCCCAGTTGGCAGCTAGAAAAAAAAATGGGGACTTCAGTCATACAACCACGAGGAAATAAATTCTGTCAAGCACCAGGGAGCTTGAAAGAGGCCCCAGACCCTCATATGAGATTGAAGTCCCACCTACCACCTTGACTTCAGGCTGGGGAAACACTGAGGAGGTAACTCAGTTAACCCAAACTCAGATATCTATATCATGGAAATTGTCAGATAATACAATTTTGTTATATCAACCTGGATTGTGATAATGTATTATACAGCAATATAAAATGAATACAATTTCTTTCAAATTTCTATCAAAACTGCCCGACTGCAGCAACTGTAGTTTAACAACTGTAGTTAAAATAAGTGTGTCTGTCTCATGGACTTTTAGATGGGTTACAGTTTCCTGCTGGGAGACATATTTTGCTATAGTTAACACACTCCTGTTTTCAACCATCCTACCAACTTGCGTGTGGTGGCATGCACATTTGATTAACTACATCATCACAATGTAAACGAATCTTTTGGCTTTTCTCTAAAGGCAATGAGCATAGTTCCACTAGAGTTAGGGAAAAGACCTCATTTTTATGGTTGAATACTTTTTATACCCATACTTCGACTCTCAACTAAACATCAAAGCTTTTTTAAAAATTTTAATAAAAGGTAAAAGAATAACCAGCAACAGAAATAATTCAATTTACTTATGGTGAAAACTAAGAAAGCTAGGAAAATATAAATATTTTATGAGCCTTTTCTAGAAATCGTAAATTCTTCTACTTCACTAATTTGTCTAACCTCTTATTCACCTGATTTCTGATGCCTGATTATGTAGCTTCTTTTGTAAAACATTGACATTTTAATGACTCTTCTAAAGAGATACTCTTCTTCTGTCATTGCTAGTAGCTTTAACTTTTTTTTTCTTTTCTTTTTTTTTTTTTTTTTTCTGAGGCAGAGTCTCACTCTGTTGTCCAGGCTGTAGTGCACTGCTCCGATCTCAGCTGACTGCAACCTCTGCCTCCTGGGTTCTAGCAATTCTCGTGTCTCAGCCTCCAGAGTAGTCGGGATTACAGGCACCTGCCACTACATCCAGCTAATTTTTGTGTTTATTAGTATTGATGGGGCTTCTCCATGTTGGTTGGACTGGTCTTGAACTCCTGACCTCAAGCGATTCTCCCGTCTCCGCCTCCTAAAATGCAGGGTTACAGGCATGAGCCACTGCGCTTTGCCAACTTTTATTTTTAAGTTTTTGGCAAATATAGTTTTAATTAGTTCCAGCCAAGAACACCTTGTTAGCATCTACTATGAACAACTTGGGAGAAGTGGGAGGTAAACATTTCTTTTTATAATTAACTTATAAAGTTGGCCGGGTGTGGTGGCTCATGCTTGTAATCCCAACACTTTGGGAGGCCCAGGCGGGCAGATCGCTTGAGCCCAGGAGTTTGATAATAGCCTGAACATCATGAGGCCATGGCAGGAGAATTCCTTTGGCCCAGGAGAGGGAGGTTGCAGTGATTAGAGATTGTGCCATTGCACTCCAGCCTGGGTAATGGGAGTGAAAATCTGCCTCCAAAAAAAAAAAAAAGAAAAAGAAAAAAAGAAAAAAAAAGTTGATAACTACTTACATTTATTCACTTTCCTAATATAAATCCTGAAAATTTTGCTTCATTTTCTAGCCTCACATATTTGTTGTAAATTTATAATTGATTCTAAAGCCTTACTATACCTTTCTCAAAGAAACTTCAGTGATAAATTCTAGAGACAAAGTGTTAAATGTTTCTGAAGTCCTTCTCTCCATTATACTTCAATGGCTTATTATACAAATCATTTTAATCTCCAGAAATCTCTTTCCTTAGTTTGTCTCATGAAAATATATTATTTTTGGCTCGGATTCCAGACTTTTTTTTTTCTTTTTTTTGGTCAATATTCAAAAGATCCGTTTAACCTCAGCATATGAACCAAGTCCGTGTCTATCATAATTAACTTGTTTGTTCTTTCTCATCTTGATCTATGTGTTTTGTCTCTAAAACTAGTATCTAGAGAATCTTCTTTTTGTCCTTTAATGACAAAAATATAACACATTTCTTCCGTATAAAATTTAAATATTAGTTTCTATATTATAAAATTTTACATAATAAAATTATTTTCACTGCACACTTTGTACTTTAAACATTTGTGATATATCATTACCAAAATCATTTCTGATATGTAGAGTAAATCTTATTTTGATATTAATTTGTATGTTCTTATCATATTTGAAGAGCTCAAACAAATTGGTTAAATACATTCTTCTGATATATTAAAGAGAATTGCTATATAACCTAGTTCTTATATTAATGCCATGTTACAAGGTTAAATTTTATTATATTTCCACAGCACTCATTGCTTTATTTTTTCCATCTTAATCTCTTTGATGTATATAGTTTTAGCATAATTATTTTTAGTTTCCAGTATCAAATTAAATCTCTCTATATATCTCTTCTCAAAAGAGAATGTGTGGGTGGTTAGAAAAACTTCACTTGGGATAAAAGTGGATAAAATTATTCACACATGCATACACATACACATATGAAAGCAAGTTCTAAAAAAGGATGCAATCTAGTTACCAAGTAATATGTTAATGTCAATTTTCTGGTGTTGCTATTGTACTACAGTTACATGGCATAACTGGGTGAAGTTAGGTATGGGGCACACAAAACTCTGTATTATTTTTGAAAATTCTTGTGAATATATAATGGTTTCCAATAAAAATTTAAATAAGCAGTTTAGTCACATGGGAGATACTCAAAATTAGTATTGTTATTATAGCTGTTAGTCAATGTAGCTTCTTAATTGAAATTTTTTATTGAAAAAACTCTAATTTCTAACATTAGTAAGGAATCTTTAATTTATTGATAGTTTTGCACAATTTAACTGGATATATTAAGTGTGTGTAAATATGTGTGTATGGGTTTCTTTTTTATTTCTTTTTATTGTTTTTTGAGACAGGGTCTCTCTCATCCAGGCTGGGCATGGTCTTGGCTCAATTCAACCTTCTCCTCCTGGGTTCAAGTGATCCTCCCACCTCAGCCTCCCAAGTAGCTGGGACTAAAGGCGCATTCCATTACGCTCAGCTAAGTTTTGTATTTTTTGTAGAGACAGGGTTTCGCTATGTCGACCAGGCTGGTCTCAAACCCCTGAGTTCAAGTGATCCTCCTGCCTCGGCTGGGTTTCTCAAAGCAAGAGAAACTTATTTTTTTAATATACAGATAAATTTTGAGGTGAAAGGGAGGATTGAGAAAATCAAGTTAATGTTTATAAACAGTACTTCTTCCCATTAATACCAAATAGGGTTTTAATTAAATATAATGCTAGTAAATCAGTCTATAAGCTAATCAATTGACAGAAATATATGGGAAATTTACTTTCTTTTGTATTTATCTAGCAGAAATAGTGTTTTAGTTAGCTAACAAGATGTACCTTATCAATGTTTAAAATGAATATTAATAATACATTAATACCTCACTACATAAAGAAACCTGGGTTCTGAGATTATTGATTATGTAGTTGATGGTTGGCACATTGATGAGCAATTTTTTTCCCTGACATCCAAGTCTCTCCTCAGCTAGAAGTCCTGCTCTCAAGGAGACATATTTATTCTTTCAGGTCATTTGCATGCCATTTAGTGCATCATTAGTTTAATAGAGACTTATGCTCTAGTGTACCAAATGGTATCCCAGAGGCCTAAATTTGGTCAATCTAACAAATTCAATGCTAGTCTGAAATCTTAGGAAAATGGTGCTGAATCCAAATGTGAGTTAGCTGAAATTCGTATTATAACTTTGCATTGGGAATAAGATCATGTGAGGTCTCAAAGGAAACCAATCACTATTTATATAGGCCATGAGTTCTGGAAGAATCTATTAGCCTATTTTGGAATAGGAATGTGATGTGGGAGCGTGAATGGAAAATAACTCTTCAGGGACCTTATAATGTAATGTTAAAGCCAATACTCTTTCAATATATCATCTAATGAGAAATGGAAAACAAATTTCAGTTGTGTGTACTTGGAGTAATATTAGTAAGAGTATCTTCACAGTCACTTTGAGACTAAATTCTCTTATTCCATGGTTCTACTATTTTTGCCATCTTACTCATTACAAACTTTCTTCTACATTGTGTATGATGTCTTCATTATAACCTTTTATAATTTCTAAATCTTTGTTATTAATATTTAAATACAAGTAATCTATTTATTCAACAAATATTCATTGAATGTCTATTACTTTTCAAGTACTTTGTTTTATAGAAGAAACACAAAGATGACAAGAATACAGCTTCTTTGCTAAATTGTTTCAAATGAAAATCAGTTACACTAAAAAATTAGTGTTTATCATATGACAGTGACCATGCTAGATATTTTGTATTACTACTCCAGTTAATTCTTGTTATAACTCTATGTTATGTCTGTTAATAACCAACTATCAAATCACACCAGGAATAAAACTGTAATCAAATTTAGACATTCTGATGCTTGTGATAGCAAGGAGATAGCTGCCTTTGGGAAACTCTGAAGTGTCTTAATAAGGTGTTAGGAATAGCTTATTTTAGGATTTGGCTTTGTGTTAAGTGATTTTAGGGAAGGATTAAGGAATTGAGGGTCAGTCTGGGTGTGTAATTATTCAGAGACAGAGATAATTCTATGATTGAGTGTCTTAAAGAACCTTGTTGATGAAGCTGGAATAATAGAAGGAGACTGAAATTCTAATCGCTTAGGAAGCATAAGTAATCCAAGTTAGCATGAAAATATATGTTTGGTCATTTATATAGTTTGCACTGTGACCTTGTTTTTAATTTGTGCTCAGGCATGATGACTCTCTTAATCATTGTCACTAGTGACCTTATCTGAGGTTGGTGATCTGTGAGAATGATTAGGTTCATCAGAAGTACACCAAGACCTAGCTGTTCCTGTTATACAAGGTCCTGGCTGTCAGCAGCTGCTTTTCTATTGAAAGTGTGCTATTATTATTCTAATAGTTTTAAGTTAAACACTGAGGCTTAAAGAAGCACTCAAATTTTAATTCTATTAGCAATCTGATAACTTCATTTCGGTTTTTCATTTAAGAGAGAATATCAACATTTCAAATAATTACAGAAAATTTATAAGTTTGTTATTTTAGACTTTAAAATTGCATAATTATATACATACACATGTGTATATACGTATATACACACACACACGCGTGCATATACGTATATATACACACACACGCGTGCATATACGTATACACACACACGCGTGCATATACGTATATACACACACAAGCGTGCATATACGTATATACACACACACGCCTGTGTATATACATATGTACACACACACGTCTGTGTATATACGTATGTACACACACACGTCTGTGTATATACGTATGTACACACACAAGCCTGTGTATATACGTATGTACACACACACGCCTGTGTATATACGTATGTACACACACACGCCTGTGTATATACGTATATATACACACAAAATGTCGTGCATCATTTAATGATGGGGATACTTTTAGAGAAATGCATTGTTAGGTAATTTAGTGCTGTGGGAACATCATAGAGTATACTTCTAGAAACCTAGGTGGTTATAGCCTACTACAGGCCTATAGCCTATTGTTCCTAGGTTACAAACCTTTACAGCATATTACTGTACTGAATACTGTAAACATTTGTAACACAATTGTAAATATTTGCATATCTAAATATATCTAAGCATAGAACAGATACGGTAAAAATAAAGTATTATAATCTTATGGGACTACCATCTTATATGCAGTCTGATGTTGACTGAAACATTATTATACAGCAGATGAATATATATATATCCAGAGCTTCGAAATATAAGAAGTAGTAACTACTGTAGTTCAAAGAAAAATGGACAAATTCATAATTATATTTAGATGTTTTAATATTTCTTTTCTAGTAACTGGTAGAACAAGTAAGAGAAAAATCAGTATGTATATAGGTGTCTTGAACTTCACTATCTATCAATTTGACCTAATTTATGTTTATAGAACACATCAATAACAACTGAATGAATATATGTTTTTCTCAAGAACACATGAAACATTCACCCAGGTAGACCATATTCTGGGCCATTAAACAAACTTTTGCAAATTTTAAATAATACAAATTATACAAAGTATCTTCTTACTCAATAGCAAGTTTGAGCAAAAGCCAATACAAAGATAACTAGAAAATCTCAAAGTAACTGGGAATTGTACTGCAAATTTCTACATAATCTGTGGGTCAAAGAGTACATCTCAAAAGAAAATTTAAAAATTGAAGTGAATGAAAAGTTAAAATACAACATAATAAAATTTGTGGAATGTAGCAAAGACATATGTTACAGAGAAATGTATAACAGTGAATACTTATTTAAAAAGCAAGACTGAAGTAAGTATGCTAAACTTTATCCTTCACGTACTAAAAAAAATAATTAAATAGGAAGTTTAAGTAAGGTAATAAGAATAATTAGAATACATGTAAATAAAATTGTAAACAGAATAATAACAGAAAAATCAGTGAGACAAAAAGTAGTTCTTTAAGATCAATAAAATTGACAAATGTCTAGCCAAACTGACCGTGGTGGGAAAACTCTAATGACCCCCTAGATTTTTACCTCCTGGTGTTTACACCCTTGTATAATTCTCTCCTCTTTAGTGTGGATGGCACCTACAATTTGCTTCTAATCAATATGATCTTGCAAATGGGATAAGATTTCACTCCCATATTTACAGTAGGTTATGCAAATCTCTGTTTTGGTAGCAAAGATTCTCCTTGCTAACTTCATGAAATATGTGGCCACATTGAGGAAAGCCATGTGGCAAGAAACTGTAGACATCCTCTTGGAGGTGCAGGCAGTCTCTAGAAGCTGAGTGCTGCCTTAACTGGAAGTCAGCAAGGAACTGGGGAACCTAAAACCTACAGTCACAAGACAATAAATTCTACCAACAACCTAAGTGAGCTTAGGAGAGGATTTTTCTCCACTTGAGCCTCCAGATAAGTACACAACCCAGTGATATGTTGATTGTAATCTTGTGAGATCTTAAGCAGAGGATCCACTTCAGCTATACTCAGAACCCTGACCCATAGCAACAGGGAATAATACGTGTGTGTTTTTTAAGCCTCCATATTTGTGACAAGTTTTTACAAAGGAATAGAACATTGATGCACTGAACAAGAGAAATAGAGAGAAGACATATATTACCATTACCAGGAATGCAAGAATGGATCACTATTGATGCTGACTTTAAAGTGATAATAAGCAATTACTATAAACAATTCTATGCCCATACACTTGACACCTTAGATTAGACTAAACTAACTCATTCCCTGAAAGACAGAAACAACTATAAAAATCCACTCAAGAAACAATAGATAATCTGAACAGCTCTACATCTACTAAAGAATCAAACTTGTAATAAAAAACCTCCAGGACCATATGGCTTTATTGGCAATCCCACCAACCATTTAAGAAAGAAAAAAATACCCATTCTATACAATATTTTTCAGTAAGTAGAAGAGTAAAGAATATTTCACAACTCATTGTATGAGGCCAGCATTTTGCTAATACCAAAGACAGGCAAAGACATCATAAGGAAAAAAAAAACACCTCAAAAAACTGCAGATCAAGATCCCTGATGAACATAAAGATACAATAATTACTAAAATATTAAAATTGAAATCATCAGCATATATACTCACACACACATATATGCACACATATGTGTGTATATATACACATAACATGTCTGTGTGTAAAATTATACATTATGACTATGTATAGTTTACCATAAGAATTCCAAGCTGTTTAACAATCAAAATCAATAGATATAATTCAAATATAATTTATTTACAAAAGTAAATAAGAAAAGCCATATGATAATCTCAATAAATGCAAAAAAGCATTTGACAGCTAGTCATGATAAATATTCTCCATAAACAATAAGTAGAAATGTAAAAACCCTAAACCTAAGTAATATAATCTAGACAATGAAGTATAACCCAGCAATTAATTAGAATTAATTATTGATTGATGCAATAATAAGGATTGATCTTAAATGCATTTTGCAAGGTATAAGAAATCAGATGCATAAGCTTACATATCATCTGGTGCCTTTATATGATTTTTGGGCAAAATCAAAATTATTGGGATGAAAAACATGTCAGTGTTTGCCAGGGATTGGATTACCAGGAAGTTGACTATAAAGGGACTGCACAAAGAAATGTTTAGTCTGATGAAACTTTTATGGATAGTATAGTTTTGGTGGACACATCTCTTTGTGGTGGACACACATTCTTTACATTTGTCAAAACCATAATAATTACATTTGTCATGTAGGCAAATTACATTTGTCATAACCAGTAATAAATGTTTATGCAAATATATATCTATATATCTATATATATATCTCACAGTGGAATGTGGGAAGAGCCAGTATGGATTAAAAACTGTAGTAATTGTATTTAACTGTATTTCAAGTATATTAGATAATCTTACCAAAGTGGCTAGGGAAAAAGGAAGCTGAAATAAATAGCAGGAAAACAATGTTTTGGCAAGAGTTTGTGAGGTGAAAGCAAAAACTAAAATGTACATAGAAGCTGTAGTATAGTTGATAATATCTTTCTCATTGTGGTACAGATTAGAAAACCTGACACTATGTATAAATTAGGGTTAAATAAATAAGTGCACACATTGTAGATAATGAGGTCCAGGTTTCTCAATGTCAAAGAAAAAGTTACAATAATAATTAAGTCAAGAAGGCTAGAATTAACCCTGTTTTGCTGGAATCGTCTAAGATATTAGTAAAACTCGTATTTTATATATATACATATGAAGACTAATACCAGTATATATGTATAAATGAATTAGCATGTATAAACACACAATCTCTATATGTTGAGCATATCTATACATAATATATAATAGTTTCACATTTTATAATACTTAGTATACTAAGTATGGAAGTATACGTATCATATTATATATAATGTACATAACATATGAAATAGTGATATAAATACATATGTATGTATGTGTGTGTATGTACATATTTTCCAGCTTTTGTCTATTTAAAGGTACATGAAGTTATGACATCTGAGTAACTTTGATCACATCTACTACCTAGATCTTGGTTTCTAATACCATCCTCCAAGAAAGGAAGCCAACGTTAATTCCAGGACTGGTACAGAAAAATTATAAGATTAGCCTGGAACATTATCTACTACTATAATATGTAAGTGAAAAAAAAAAGCGTCATATCAAAAGGACATAGAAGCCCACATAAAGGAGTAGAAACCATTTCAATAAATAAATAAATAATAATAGTACAGGCTTATAAACCAAAAAAAAAATTGATGATGTTTATTGATACAAATACATGAGATAATATTTTTTAAATGTATAGAGCAGACAAATCTTTGAAGCTCTGAAAATGCTTTTCTAAAAATTTTTTACAATTAATTTTTAGCATCCACCAATGGATTTAACTGGCAGCAATTATTACTGTGTTGTTGTAATGGTTTTCTATCATAAAAGGAAAATAAATCTTGGAACCCAAAATCACTAAGCCATTACTAAGTTATGTTGATACCATGTATATGAGAAAGGCATTCTTCCAAAAAGTTCATAATTCCAGTCTAATAATAATAAAAAATCTCAGAAACCTGTACTGGGAGATGTTCTACTACATACATGACTGGTAATCTTCAAAATGGTGAAGAACATAAAAGACAAGGAATAAACTAGACAGTATCACAGAATGGAGGACTAAGACATAGCAACTAAGTGCAATGTAGATATATGCATGGATTAGATTCTGGACTTGAAAAAGAACATTTGTGGAAAAACGGGTCACTTCTGACTAAAATCTGTAGTTTAATTAGTAGTATTATGCCAACTTTCATTTCTTTTTTGATAAATGTATCAAAATAAATTTTTATACAAAGTATGTACATAATGGAGGTTGAGTTAAGGGTATGTAAGAACTCTCTGTAGTGTCTTTGCAGCTCTGCTGTAAGTATAGTAGGTTTGCAGTAACATTATAATTATTTGTCTTTATAAAAAAGTGTTGCTGAGTGAGACAAATATGTTTTCTAGTCATGTTGTTACTTATTTGCAAAATGCAGAGTCTCATAGTACCCCTAAAGCTTGTATGATTTAAGATAATATTCTCTTATATTGAATATACTGATTTTATTATAAACAATGTAAAGTAGCTTTCAGCGTAGGTCACTTCGTCTTCTGAGTTAGGAAGAGGTACCTTCAGCCCCAGGTCTCACACCCAGTTGTAATTCAAATGCCGGCATGAATATTTCCAGAAATTTTTAGGTCTTTGGATACTGATAGTACAGGTCAACAGCTAATAACCACCTAAAGAAAAGCTCAGTTGATTGGAATCTCTTTCCTCTACTGGAGCCATAAGTAGAGGGATAAACCTCTTAATAATCAGATGGTATAATGTTCTGCACTATTACTGACTCTGAGTTTTCTTTTCCTATAGAGAAAATGAGGGTTTGGATGTGAAATTAGGTCTAGAGCTGGGCAGTCAAGCTCGTTGGTTTACATGGGACATGCAGGCTTTGGGTTAAGCATTACTGTTTTATGTAATAATTATATTTTGGTTATTAAAGATTAAGGTGCACAGCATTTTAATGAAAATCTATGTATTCATTTGTATTATTTTAGAGATTCTGGAGTAGAAACAATGTAGGATTTAAGTTAAAATAGTTTTAAGATTGAAACACATCTCTTTTGTTTAATATAGGGAGCCCTTTAGTAGGAACCTTACGCATTTCAGTTCCAGGTTTCTTATATGTAAACTGTGTGAAATAGTACCTAATGTAAAGTATTTTGGTAAATATTAATTGGTAGACTATTTTTGAATGTCAATCTATTTGATTTTATCTCATGTACTTCAGCTGTGGACTGAAGATTCATAATACACTTCACAAGATCAATGTACTAGAGTTCATTAGATTTTTCACAAAGCAACTGGAGCAACTGGGGCAGGGGGGTGACACCATCCCAAGCGGTGTATTAGAACATCAATCTTTAACTTATGTATCACTCTTTCTACAAGGAAAATTTGGTGAAACTATGGTGAAGTATATGTATTGGACTATCTAATTTCATTTGTGGTGGTGCTTTTTTTAATAAACTTTTTTTAATTTTTATTTTAGGTTCAGGGATACATGTGCAGGTTTGTTATATAGATAAAATGTGTGTCATGTGGGTTTGGTGTACAGATTATTTAGTAACCCAGGTAATAAGTATAGTACCCTTTACGCAGTTTTTCTCATACTCTCTCTCCAACTCTCCATCATCAAGTAAGCCCCAATGTCAGTTGTTCCCCTCTTAGTGTCCATGTGTCCTCATTGTTTAACTCCCACTTATAAGTGAGAACATGAGGTATTTGGTTTTCTGTTCCTGCATTAATTTGCTTAGAATAATGGCTTCCACCTCCATGCATGTTACTGCAAAGGGCATAATCTTGTTTTTTATTTATGGTTGCATAGTATTCCATGGTATATATGTACTAAATTTTTTAATCCAGTATATCAAAGATGATAATTTAGATTGATTCCATGTCTTTGCTATTGTGAATATTGCTGTGATGAACATACACATGCATTGCGTGTTAATGGTAGAATAATTTCTATTTTCTTGGGTATATGCCCAATAATGGGTTTGCTGGGTCGAATGGTAATTCAGTTTTAAGCTCTGTGAGAAATAGCCACACTGTTTTCCACAATGGCTGAACTAATTTACACTCCCACCAGCAGTGCATAAGCATTCCGTTTTCTCTGCAACCTTGCCAGCATCTGTTATTGTTTGATTTTTTAATAGCCACTGTGACTGGTGTAAGATGATATCTTATGGAGATTTGGATTTGCATTTCTCTGGTGATTAGTGCTGTTCAGCATTTTTTCATATGCTTCTTAGGCACATGTGTGTCTTCTTTTGAAAGATACCTGTTGCTGTCCTTTGTCCACTTTTTAATGGGGTTGTTTTTTCTCTTTAATTTGTCTAAAATCCTTATGGATTCTGAATATTAGAGCTGTGTCAGATGCACAGTTTGCAAATATTTTCTCCCATTCTGTAGGTTGTCTGTTTACTCTACTGATAGTTTATTTTGCCATGCAGAAGGTCTTTAGTTTAATTATGTTCCATTTGTCAATTTTTATTTTTATCGTGATTGCTTTTGGTGTCTTGGTCATGAAATCTACCCTGTTTCCACAATGATATGTTCTAGGTTTTCTTCCATGGTTTTTATAGGTTTAGGTTTTACATTTAAGTCTTTATTCCATCTTGAGATGATTTTTGTGTATGGTATAAAGTAGTGGCCCAGTTTCAATCTTCTGCATATGGCCGCTGGCTATCCCAGCAATGTTTATTGAATAGGGAGTCCTTTTCCCATTGCTTGTTTTTGTCAGCTTTGTCAAAGATCAGATTTTTGTAAGTGTATAGCATTATTTCTGAGATCTCTATTCTGTTTCATTGATCTATACATCTGTTTTTGTATCTTCACCATGCTGTTTTAGTTACTATAGCCTTGTAGTATAGTTTGAAGTAAGGTAATATAATACCTCTAGCTTTGTTCTTTTTGCTTAAGATTGCCATGGCTATTCAGACTCTTTTTTGGTTTCATATTAATTTTTACTTTTTTTTTCTAGTTGTGTGAAGAATGTCATTAGGAATTTAATGCAAGTAGCATTGAATCTCTAAATTGTTTTGGGCGGTATGGTCATTTTAAAAATATCAGTTCTTCCTATCTATGAGCATGGAATATTTTTCCTTTCGTTTCTGCCATCTCTGTTTTTCTTGAGGAGTGTTTTGCAATTCTCCTTGTAGAGATCTTTTACCTCCCTGGTTAGCTGTATTCCTAGGTGTGTGTGTGGCAGTTGTGAATGGGAATGCATGCCTGATTTGGCTCTCAGCTTGCATGTTGTTGGGTATAGAAATGTTACTAATTTTCTATATAGATTGTGTATACTGAAACTGCTGAAGTTGTTTATCAGATCAGGGAGCTTTCAGGCTGAGATTAGGGGTTTTTCTAAATATAGAATCAAGTCATCTGCAAACAGGGATAGTTTGACTCCCTCTCTTCCTATTTGGGTGCCTTTCATTTACTTATATTGCCCGATTGCTCTGGCTAGGACTTCCAATAATATGTTAAACAGGAGTGGTGAGAGGGCGCATTCTTGTCTCGTGCCAGTTTTCGACTGGAATGCTTCCAGCTTTTGCCCTTTCAGTATAAGGGCTATGGGCTTGTCATAGATGGCTCTTATTATTTTGAAATATGTTCCTTCACTACCTAGCTTACTGAGAGCTTTTAAAATTAAGAAATGCTAAATTTTTGAAAGCCTTTTCTGCATCTATTGAGATAATCATGTGGTTTTTGTTTTTAGTTCTGTTTATGTGATGAATAAGATTTATTGGTTTGCATATATTGAACCAACGTTGCATCCCAGGGATAAAACCTACTTGATTGCAGTGGATTAGCTTTTGATGTGCTGCAGGATTTAGTTTGCTAGTATTTTGTTGAGGATTTTTGAATCTATGTTCATCAAGGACATTGGCCTGAAGTTTTCTGTTAACGTTGCTGTGCCTCTGCCAGGTTTTGGTATCAGGATGGTGCTGGCTTCACAGAATGAGTTGAAGAGCAGTTCCTTCTACTAATCTTTTTGAAATAGTTTAGTAGAAATGGCACTAGCTGTTCTTTATACATATGGTAGAATTCAGTTCTGAATCTGTCTGGTCCTGGGCTTTTATTGGTTGACAAGCTTTTTTACTAATTCAGTTTCAAAACTTGTTAATGGCTTGTTTGGGTATTCAATGTCTTCCTGGTTCAGTATTGTGAGGTGGTATGTGTCAGGAATTTATCTATTTCTTCCAGATTTTCTAATTTGTTTGTCTAGAAGTGTTCATAGTAGCCTCTGCTGGTTATCTGTGTTTATGTGGGGTTGGTGGTAATGTCCTCTTTGTCATTTTCAATTGTCTTTGTTTGGATCTTCTCTCTTGTTTTCTTTATTAGTCTAGCTAGTGGTCTAACTAATAACTTTTTCAAAGAACCAAGTCCTAGATTCACTGATGTTTGGTTTGTTTTTTCCTGTCTCGATTACCTTCAGTTCAGGTCTAATTTTAGTTATTTCTTGTCTTCTGCTAGCTTTGGGGTTGATTTGCTCTTGCTTTTTTAATTTTTCCAGTTGTGACATTAGGTGGTTAAATTGAGATCTTTTTAACTTTTTGATGTGGGCAATCAGTGCTATAAACTACCCTATTAACACTGCATAGGTGTGTCTCAGAGATTCTGTTATGTCATATCTTGGTTCTTATTAGTTTCAAATAACTTATTGATTTCTGCCTTAATTACATTGTTTAACCTAAGAGTCATTTAGGAGTTGGTCATTCAATTTCCATGTAATTGTGTGGTTTTGAGTTAATTTCCTAATCTTGAAATCTAATTTGATTGTGCTGTGGCCTGAGAGACTATTCATTATGATTTCAGTTCTTTTGCATTTGTTGAGGAGTGTTTTACTTGTGATTATGTAATCAATTTTAGAGTCAGTGCCATGTGGCAATAAGAAGAATGTACATTTTCTTGGTTTTAGGTGGAGGGTTCTGTAGATACCTATCAGGCCCACTTGATCCAGAGCTGAGTTCAAGTCCTGAATATCTTTGTTAATTTTCTGCCTCAATGATCTGTCTAATACTGTCAGGGAGGTGTTGAAATCTCCCAGTATTATTGCGTGAGAATCTATGTCTCCTCATAGATCTCTAAGAATATGCTTTATGAATCTGTGTGCTCCTGTATTGGATGAGTATATATTTAGAATAATTAGGTTTTCTTGTTGAATTGAACCCCTTACCATTGATATAGTTTGGCTCTGTATCCCCACCCAAATCTCATGTTGAATTATAATTCCCAATGTTGAAGGAGATACCTCTTGGAAGGTGATGGGATCATGGGGGTGGATTTTCCCCTTGCTATTCTCATGATAGTGAGTGAGTTCTCATGAGATCTGGTGGTTTATAGTCTGTAACACTTTCTCCTTCACTCTCTATCTCTCCTATCACCATGTGAAGGTGTCCTTGCTTCCCCTTTACCTTCCACCATGAGTAAGTATCCTAAGGCCTCTTCAGCTACACCTCCTGTACAGCCTGTGGAACTGTGAGCCAATTAAACCTCTTTTCTTCACAAATTACCGAGTCTCAGGTAGTTATTCATAGCACTGTGAGAACAGACTAATACAGAAAATTGGTACCAGAGAAGTAGGCTCTTGCTATCAAGATACCTGAAAATGTGGAAACAGCTTTGAAACTGGGTAACAGGTTGGAACAATTTGGAGGGCTCAGAAGAAGACAGGAATATGAGGGAAGGTTTGGAACTTTCTAGAGACTTGTTAAATGGTTTTGACCAAAATGCTGATAGTGATATGGACAGTAAAGTCCAGGCTGAGGTAGTCTTGAATGGATATAAAGAACTCTTTGGGAACTTGAGTAAAGGTCACTCTTGCTATGCTTTAGCAGAGAAACTGGTGGCCTTGTGACCCTGTTCTAGAGATCTGCAGAACTTTGAACTTGAGAGATGATTTAAGATACCTGGTGGAAAAGATTTCTAAACAGCAAAGCATTCAAAAGGTGATGTAGCATTCTAATAGCATACACTCATACAAATGAACGAAGAGATTAGCTGAAACTGGAACTTATATTTAAAAGGGAAGCAGAGCATAAAAGTTTGGAAAATTTGCAGTGTGACCATGTGATAGAAAAGGAAAACTTATTTTGGGGGGAGAAATTTAAGCCAGCTGCTAAAATTTGCATAAGTAAAGAAGCATCTAATGTTAATAGCTAAGACGATTGGGAAAATGCCTCCAACTCCAAAGTATTTCACAGATCTTTGCAGTAGCCCCTCCCATCACAGGTCTGAATACCTAGGAGAGAAAAATGGTTTCCTGGGCCAGGATCAGGGCCCTGCTGCTCTGTGTAAGTTCATGACATGGTGCCCTCTGTCCCAGCCACTCCAGCTCCAGCTGTGGCTAAAAGGGGCAAAGGTACAGCTCAGGACGTTGTACCCTCAGAAGGTTTGGTGGCTTCCACTTGGTGTTGGACCTGCAGGTGCACAGAAGGCAAGAGCTGATGTTTGAGGGCCTCTGCCTAGATTTCAGAGGATATATGGAATGCCTGGATGTCCACGCAGAAGTCTGTTGCAGAAGTGGAGCCCTCATGGAGAACCTCTTCTAGGGTAGCACAGAGGGGAAATATGGGATTGGAACTCCCACACAGAGTCCCCACTGGAGCACTGCCTAGTGGAGCTGTGAGAAGAAGGCCACCATCCTCCAGACCCCAGAATGGTGGAGCCACCAACAGCTTGCACTGTGAACCTGGAAAAGTCACAGGAACTCTATGCTAGCCCATGAAAGCAGCTCCACAAGCTGTACCCTGCAAGCTGCAGGATTGGAGCTACTCAAGGCTGTGAGAGCCCATTCGTTGAATCGGCATGCCCTAGATGTGAGACATGGAGTCAAAAGGGATTATTTTGGAATTTTAGATTTAATGACTTCCTAGTTTTTAGACTGGCATGGGACCTGAAGCCCCTTTGTTTTGACCAATTTTTTAAATTTGGAATGGGAGGATTTACCCAATGCCTGTACTTCCATTGTGTGTTGGAAGTAACTAACTTGTTTTTTTATTTTACAAGCTCATAGGTGGAAGGGACTTGCCATGTCTCAGATGAGATTTGGACTTGGACTTTTGAGTTAATGCTGGAATAAGTTAAGACTTTGGGGAACTGTTGGAAAGGCATGATTGTCTTTTGAAATGTGAGAAGGACATGAGATTTGGGAGGGACCAGGAGGACAGTAATATGGTTTTTCTCTGCATCCCCACACAAATTTCATGTTGAATTGTAATTCCCAATGTCAGGAGAGGAATGTAGTGGGAGGTGATTGGAGCATGGAGGCAGATTTCTCCCTGCTATTCTCATTATAGTGAGGAGTTATTTTGACATATGATGGTTTTAAAGTATTTGGCACTTTCTTTTTCACTGTTTTTCTCTTCTATTGCCATGTGAATATGCTCTTGCTTCCCCTTCACCTTCCATTATGATAGTAATTTTCCTGAGGCCTTCTCAGCCTCCTGTGTGGGCTGTGGAACTGTGAATAAATTAAACCTCTTTTCTTTATAAATGACCCAGTCTCAGGTAGTTCTTTATAGCAACGTGAGAATAGACTAATACAAACATTATGTCATGCCTTTCTTTTTTTTTTTTTTTTTTAATCTTTTTTTGTTTAAAGTCTGTTTGGTCTGAAATTAGGATTATAACCTCTGATTTTGTCTGTTTTCCATTTGTTTGATAGATTATTTCCATCAAATTATTTTCAGCCTATGCATGTTATTTCATGGGAGATGGGTCTCTGGAAGATAGCATACAATTGAGTGTTGCTTCTTTATCTAGCTTGTCACTCTGTGTCTTTTAATTGGGGAATTTATCCCATTTACATTTAAGGTTAGTACTGATATGTGTGGATTTGATCCTTTCATTGTGTTCTTAGCTAGTTATTATACACCAACTGGTTTGTGTGGTTGCTTTACAGTATCACTGATCTGTGTACTTAAATGTGTTTTTGTAGTGGCTGATGATAATCTTTTCTTTTTGTATTTAGCAAAATACACCTCTTTTAAGGCAGATCTGGTGGCAATAAATTCCCTCAGCATTTGCTTGTCTGAAAAGAATCTTCTTTCTCCACTTATGAAGCTCAGTTTGGCTGCAATAAAATTCTTGTTTGAAAATTTTTCTTTAAGAATGTTGAATATAGGCACCCAATCTCTTCTGGCTTGTAGAGTTTCTGCTGAAAGCTCCGCTGTTAGGTTGATGGAGTTTCCTTAGTAGGTGGCTTGTCCCTTCTCTTTAGCTGCCTTTAACAGTTTTTTTCTTTCATTTTGACCTTGAAGAATTTGATGATTATGTGTCTTAGGAATGGTCTTCTTATATAATAGCGTGCAGGCATTCTCTGCATTTCCTGAATTTGAATGTTGGCCTCTCTAGTGAGATTGAGAAAGCTTTCATGAACAATAACCTGAAATATGTTTTCCAAGTTGCTTGCTTCCTCCCTGTCTCCTTCACATAAACCAATGAGTTGTAGATTTGTTCTCTTTGCCTAATCTCCTATCTCTTGGAGATTTTGTTCATTCTTTTTATTTTTTTTTCTTCAATCTTGTCTGACTGGGTTATTTTAGAGAGCCAGCCTTTGAGCTTTGTGATTCTTTCCTTGGCTTGGTCGGTTCTGCTGTTAATACTCACATTATGCAATTCTTGGAGTGTGTTTTTCAGCTCTATCAGGTCAGTTTGTTCTTTTTTAAAAAATGTTTATTTTATTTAACAGCTCCTGTTTCATTTTATTATAATTCTTAGCTTCCTTGGATTGGGTTTCGACATTCTCCTGAATCTTGATGATCTTTGTCATTTTGGCCATTTCAGCCTGCTAAAGAACCCCTGGTGGGAAATTAGTGTGTTCATTTGGAGGAAAGAAGCCACGATGCCTTTTTGAGTTGTAAGAGTTCTTGTGCTTTTTCTTTCTCATCAGTGTGGGCTGGTGTTCCTTTAACTAGGGTATAAATTGATTACAGTCAGTAGATTTCTTTTCTGTGTGTTTTCAGAGGGCCAAGGCTTTGTTCAGTCTTTATTTGCAGTGAAATTTTTGTCCTGGGTTTCACAGGGAGGTATATTAGCAGAGTATTTTGGTGTTGATGTTTTGGGCCGTGATCCAGTAGGTGGTGCTTAAGCATAATTTCCAGTAGGTAGGCTGTTGCTCAGTCATGTGGCTCTTCACAGTTGTTTCTGTGCTCCCTCTTAGTGCTCTGAAATCTTGGGCTCCTCTCCCTCTTGATTGCTGGCTGAAAATCTTGGCTTGGCACTCCCAAGCTGCACACCACAGCTCTGGGACAATCTCAAGCTTTATATCCCTTCCCATCTTGGAGGAATCAGAGGAAGGAAAGTTAGCAGTGGTTGTGACAGAGGGTTTTTCACTTGTCTCTTGGAGCTCCACCTCAGAAAGACGCAGAGCTGCTATCAATCAGTATGATTGGCCTAGGATGGGGCAGCTGTGCTGTGAGACCAAGTAAGTGGGGCCCTGCCTTGCAACAAATAGCAGGGGTGGGTGGGGCTTGGGGAGACAGACTGGCTTCTTTTCTTTAGGGTTACTACAGCTTGTTGGAGGTGTGGTTAAAGCACTCAGAGTCTTTGCTCCTTCCTCGGCCTGAGGGCAGAAACGGCAGTACCACTACAGGAACAGTGGCAGAGGGGCTTTCAGTTGCCTCTTGGAGCTGCACCTCAGAGAAACACAGAGCCACTGCTACTGGGAATGTTCAGCCAGGGGATGGGGCAGCTGCTCTGCTTGCCCGAACAGCAGCCTCTGTTTGTTAGAGAGTGGGGGATCAAAGGCACACAGGGATGAGATACTGGGCTCCTCTTTCTGTGGTAACTGTGGTATGCTGGAAGCTTGGGTGAAGCCCTTGGGCTCTTTGTTTCTTTCCCAGACTGAGGACAACAGGGGCAACGGGGAAAACCATGGCTGTGGCAGTGGCAGAGGGGCTGTTGGTTGCCTCTGGGAGTCCCTCCCTAGGGAAACACAGAGTCACTACCAGTGAGTATGCTCATCACTGGTGGGGTGGCTGCTCTGTGGTCCCAAGCCAGGGACCCTGCCTGTTGGACAGTCAAGGGTGGGGAACTCACTGGAAAGAGAGATTGGATTCCTCTCTGTATGATGGCTATGATGTGCTAGAGTGTGATGCTTTTGATCCTCCAGGAGACTGCTTAACTAAACATTTAATCTGGCTAAACTGGTAGTTCCAGCAGTGCATTATTTAGGTAAATGGCCAAGAGGAAAGGAGGAAGTTGGGTTTTTTTGCTAACTCCATTCTTTTTTCTCCATCTTGTGCTACTTGGTGATGAATCCTCAAGATGCTGATTTCTTATATAAGTTGTAATATTTGTCAAATGGGAAAAGCTAGAGAGTCAAGACCCTTAACTCTTTTTGAATAGGAACTTAACTTGAAATTTTTGAGCTACAAGTGATGCGTGGATGACAGTAATGTCTGGATGATGCACTCTGCTAGTTAGTGGTGACAGCACTGACATCTCTTTTCTGGGGAGGAAGAACCTCACAAGTGCTTTGATTATCTTTAATACTGGCTCAGTAGGTAGAGGAATCTCTTGCCTTTTTGCCTCTTCTGCCAATGTTAGATTACAAAAATGTAGTAGTATGTTTTGTTGGCAAAGTGAAAGCTGACTGTTTAAAGAAATGTTAATATTCATAATTGAAAACCTAACATCATTATGAAGTCATCAGTAAATTTTATTGCAAAAGCAATGACAGTGACCAATAACTATGGTGGTTGCTTTGGTATTCTGGGAGGAGGGCAACTGGGCTGCAATTCAGAAGTTAGAGTGCACTTAAGTTAGTCATGCTTAGAGATCTTGTGATGTGGAAAGAAAGCTCTAGAGAAAAGAGTCTGTCTAGCATGATTACTACCAGGTGAAGGCAACAAGAAAGCAGCCATTCTTTCATCTCCTCCAGCTGGGAACAGACTCCGATGTGGTAGAGGCTGTTAGCTATACCAGGAATGAAGCAGGAAAGTGAGGATGTAATTTTGGTTATTACCCCACAACAGGGATCAATAGAAGTTCAGGAATTTGCAGAGGATTACAAAAATGGGCAGAAATAGCTTATATATTTAAGACATATTAGACATTTAGGAGAAATTGACACCTAAAAAGGTTATTATAGTATGTTATTTAAAGTGGCAAAACTAGGCGTGGAGTATCATGGGACAATAGAGAAAAAGTTTCTTGCCTAACGTGTTAGGCAAGTGTTGGGCGATGTGTTAAAAGACAGGCTTTTTGATGAAAGTCTCAACAAGGAGATTAATATGAGCACAAGTACAGGTGTGAAACAGTATGCTGTATGTGTGGAGAATTTGGAGGAGTTCTGGATAGCTAGGCTGTGAAGTTTAAGACTAACAGCAGTAGACAATGATTCTGGAGAGAAAGAAAGTTGTGATCAGTAAGATATTCTCTATCTTGTTTGAATAAATGGTCAATTTAGTATTATTTTATAAAACTGATTTATAATTTTTTAACACAAAACATTATTTCTTTTATATTTATTGAAGTCTTATTCCTCCAGTAGAGAAGTTTTTTTAATAGTATGATAACTTGATCTTATGTCCTCATTTTATCATGTAATCTTCAGTATTTTCCACTATTTGTCAGAAACTAAAGGATTAAATAACTGTCAATTTCTTAAAATGAAGCTGGAAATATTTCAAAAACCCAAGTCTGCTCCCTCAACTTATTTTATATTATTAAACTAACACCATTTCTGTTAGTAGACTGCTTGCTGAAAATCATGTCAGTGATATGTTCTAAAATCTGGATGCTCGTGATAAATTGACACAATTGAGTGTCAAACATGCCAACATTTCAGTGAGCAAAATGTACTGGAATATGATATGTGTCAGTTTATTGCTTCTCTAGAAATAGATTGAAAATGAAGTGTTAGAAATAAAGAAGAAAGTGTTTATCTACACATTTGGCATGCTCAGTGTTTTTCTTTTCATCTTTTAAATTTCATAGTTTCCAAGAAGTGCAGAAATGTGAAAAGAATTATTTTTGTACAACTTGGAGTAATAAATATGCATGAGCACTTTTCCAATTATGTGAAAATTGCTTTTTGTAATTTATTTCAGATTTTGTATTAAAGTGTTATAATTACGAGATTACACGTGAATAAACTGGCTGTACATAAATGTTTTCCCATGTCAATTGGGAAATATAAGCATGTTGAGCAGAATTTTCACAAATTATATCTAGTATAATTTATGAAAAAATGCAGCACATATATTTATAAGCATAAAATATATGTATATTTCCAAAAATAGAAAACTCACTCATTTGAGTTTTGCACAACTTAAGTCAATTTGTACTGCATTTCTCTTTTCTCAAGTGGGGCTCCTTTAACTCCAAGGAGATAATAAAGAAAGATTAAAGTCAAAAAGGTAATTCATTGGAATGATATGGATGTATCTCATGAGACCTGATGTCTTAATTGCAATGAGGCTTTTGAAAAGTCTGACTCCAGGAACTAGCAAGCCATGAGGAATCAAGGATATTGCTCTTTTTTTACTCACTCTTAATCTAGATCTTCTTCTCTCTCACTATCTCTGCTTCTCAGTATTCCTCTTTATCTAAAGTTATAAGATTTCTTTTTCTGCCTCTTTTGTCTTATCTGTTTCCATGTTCTCAATTTCAGGCCCAGCATTTCTTCTGCAAGACTTTGTTGTTCACAGTCTTTGGGGAGTGATTAGAAACATTAGGGTCCAGTTTAAATTCCAGAAAGGAACGCTCTCTTGTTAGCATGGCTGGTGAGATATCAATCACAGTTCAGTTCCCCATGATTCTGACAGAGGGCTATGTGGATGTAGGAGAGAGGCTTCTAAAAAAAATAGCTGATTATACATCAGTTATACATCCTTGAGAAGGAGATGTGGGAGTGGGAAGAAAATGATCAAAGGAAAAATATTTGTCATTTCTTGAAAGTGTGATATTTCTTGGAATTCTTCATGTAAAGAGTGAGGTTGAAGGGGATATATATTTTTAGAGGCTGAAAGTAATTTTTTTTCTAGAATTTTCAGTTTATATGTTTTACATGCCAGGGTAGGGCTCATTTGATTTCCCAACAGATCTTTCCACATAATGATATTATAGAATACTATTTTTCCTCCCCTAATGGTGAAGAAAGATAAAACCATTTGGAATCTTATAGGCCTAAGTTTGAATATTGACTTTAATTTACCAGTGTTTGAATGTGAAAAATATTACATTCTCTGTGCTTATGCTTTCTAGTTTATAAAATGAGGAAAAGTAAACCTAACTCATAGGATTTGTATGTTGACTAAATAAACACTCTATCTCTATTATTATAGTACTTCACGTTTAGCAAGTGAGTACTGTGCACTCAATTTTCTTGGCATTCATGTATTTGATCTATTAAATAATACAACATAGGTACAGATCTAGCATATACTATCTACTGTATAAGCGCAAGCTATAATCAATTCCGATTTACCTGTGGTGATTTAATCTGTTTCTAAATTAATTCTGTTTTGAAGAATAGCAAATTTTTTAGAATAAATAAAGTTAGAAAAAAATTAGTGTATACACCTATGTATAAAAATATATTCCATTGCTTGGAGATGCCATTTTGCCAAAAGCTAATATGCTTCTGTTTACCAATCTGGTATGGAACCTAGTAACTAAAAAATAAGATGTCAAGCAAAATATAAACTGGTTAATATTAAACAAAGGCTAACATTATATTAACGAGAAAAATGCATTATAAAAATAACTTAAATTTTAATATAGAATAGAATACAATTTAATATTAAATATAGTAAGTATTTTATAGCCTTTTCTATTTTGAAAAACATAAAAACAAAAATTGAAATAATCTTCATACATTCAGAAGGCAATGCTAGATAAATTTATTTAAAAATGATGTATTAAACACAAAGTAACTCATGAATATGAAAACCTTTTAATGGAATTTTTTAACAGAATGGTAAATTTGGTATATATTTTGGGTGGTTTGTCAAATTCATACAATTCATAGAAGAATATGGAATTTGAGGCAATTAAGTTATGGTAGGTCTCATTTATTACCTGCTAACAGTCATAAAACGTCATTTCTCTGACTTCCCAGGGGAGAGACATTGATGGATTCTAAGACAAATTTTCCTTTCTGAGGAAAAGAAAGGTGCAAGAACACCACCATTCCTTTCCTGTCTGGACCATTTGCATTTTATAACAAAATACAATTGTGTGAGAATATGATAATGCCAAGACCAGCAATATGAAAAAAACAAGCCCAAATACAAAATGTATTCTATTAAAATCAGCAAAGATATTAAATGCAAGTCCACACATAGTCAAGTGAATGCTTGGAAATGTTGGAACAGCTTACATCCTTAATCAGGTTGAGATGTTGAAACAACCATGAAAAGACTACTGTCTGTTTCTCATGTGAAATAACTAATTTTTTTTATCGTGGTGAATAAACACAGCACAACTCTTGCCATCTTAACCACTTTTAAGTTCAGTGACATTAAATACATTCATAACGTTGTGCAAACCTAACTACCATCCATCTCCGTAACTCTTTTTATCTTGTAAAACTAAAACTTTAGACTTATAAAAACAATAACTCCCCATTCTCCACTCTCCCCAGCCCCTGACTGTCAGCATTCTGGCTCTATGATTTTGGCTTTGCTGAGTACCTCATATAAGTGGAGTCGTACAGTATTGATCTTTTTGTGATTGGGTTATTTCACTTAGCATAATATCCTCAAGGTTCATCCACATTGCAGCATATGTCAGAATTTCTTTTCTTTTTAAGGCTGAATAATATTCTATGTATGTATATAGCACATTTTGCTAATCCACTCATCAGTTAATGGACACTTGGTTTGCTTTCAAATTTTAACTGTTGTGAAATTCTGCTATGAACATGGGTATACAAATATCTCTTCAAGGCGCTGCTTTCAATTTTGGGGGGATATAGCCAGAAGTGGAATTGCTACATGATATAGTAATTCTACTTTTAATTTTTTTTTAGGAACTGCCGTACTGTTTTCCACAGTGGCTGAACCATTTTACATTTCCACCAACAGTGCCCACACACACGAGTTCCAGTTTCCTTATATCCTTGCTGACATTTGCTACTTTCTGGCTTTTTGGTAGCAGTCATTCTAATGAGTGTGAGGTGGTATCTGATTGTAGTTTTGATTTGCAACATGATTAGTGATCTTGAGCATCTTGTCATGTACTTCCTGGACGTTTGTATACCTTCTTTGGAGAAATGTCTATTCAAGATATTTGCCCATTTTTTTAAGTAAGTTATTTGTTTTCTTGCTGAGTTTTAAGAGTTCTCTTCAAATTCTGAATATTAATACCTTATAGATATAAAATTCACAACTATTTTCTGTCATTTTGCTGGTTGCCTTTTTATTATGCTGGTAGTGTCTTTTGATAAATATTTTTTAAAAATGTTATAGGGCTGGGTGCGGTGGCTCACGCCTGTAATCCCTGCACTTTGGGAGGCCGAGACGGGCGGATCATGAGGTCAGGAGATCAAGACCATCCTGGCTAACATGGTGAAACCCCGTCTCTACTAATAATACAAAAAAAAAAAAAAATTAGCCGGGCCCGGTGGCAGGCGCCTGTAGTCCCAGCTACTCAGGAGGCTGAGGTAGGAGAATGGCATGAACCCGGGAGGCGGAGCTTGCAGTGAGTCGAGATTGTGCCACTGCACTACAGCCTGGGAGACAGAGTAAGACTCTGTCTCAGAAAAAAAAAAAAAAGTTATAAATTCCAATTTGTCTAATTTTTCTTTTGTTGCATGTGTCTTTTGTGTCATGTCTGTTAACTCATTTCCAAATCTAATATTGTGAGGTTTTTGCCCTATGTTATTACCTAAGAGTTGTGTATGTTTTGGTCTTACATTTAGGTCTTTGATCTATTTTGAGTCAATTTTTGTATCTGGTTCTAGGTAAGGATCCAGTTTTATTACTTTGAAAGTGAGAATCCAGTTTTCCTGGTGCCGTTTGTTGTAAAGATTGTCTTTCTTCCATTAAATGGTCTTGGCACCCTTGTCAAAACTCATATGACCATATATGAGAAGGCTTATTTCTGGGATACCTATTCTATCCCATTGGTGTGTGCATCTGTCTTTATGCTAGTTCTACACTATTTTGCAGTAAGTTTTGAAATAGAAAGTGTGAGTCCTCCAGCTTTGTTCTTCTTTTTCAAGATTGTCTCGGCTACTAGGGGTTGTTTGAGATTCCATATGAATTTAATGATAAATTTTTCTATTCTACAAAAAATATAATTGGAATTTGATAGGAGTTGAATTGAAACTATATACCACTTTGGGCAATATGGATATCTTAAGCATATTCAGTCTTGGCCGGGTGCCTTGTCTCACACCTGTAATTCTAGCACTTTGGGAGGCTGAGGCAGGTGGATAACCTGAGGTCAGGAGTTTGAGACCAGCCTGTCCAACCTGGTGAAACCCTGTCTCTACTAAAAATACAAAAAATTAGCCACGCATGTTAGCAGGTGCCTGTATTCCCAGCTATTCAGGAGCCTGAGCTGGGAGAATCACTTGAACCCGGGACAGGGAGGCTGCAATGAGCTGAGATCACACCACTGCACTCCTGCCTTCCTAAGTTTTTGGGAATACTGATTTGGATAATAATAAAACTGGTCTTTCATGCAGCCAGTGCTATGTGAAAAACTTTTTTTCTGTTGCAATTCCTCTGTCTTGATAAGTCGGTTCTGTCTACGTATCCAGGCAAGGTGTGTCTGTTGAGTGGTAACACATGTGTTTTGTTTGTTTGTTTGTTTGTTTGTTTTTGGTAGAATTATTTTTATTCCTTTGGGTATATACCCAATAGTGGGACTGCTAGATCAAATGGTAATTCTGATTTAAATTATTTCAGAAATTGCCAAAGTGCTTTCCACAATAGCTGAACAAATTTACATTCCCAGGAGTGTATAAGTGTTTCTTTTTCTCTGCAACCTCACCAGAATCTGTTATTTTTTTACTTTTAAATAATAGCCATTCTGACTAATGTGAGATGGTATGTCATTGTGGTTTTGATTTTTCATTTCTCTGATGATTAGTGATGTTGAACATATGCTTGTTGGCCACAAGTATGTCATCTTTTAAAAAGTGTCTGTTCAGCCAGGCGCGGTGGCTCACACTTGTAATCCTAGCACTTTGGGAGGCCGAGGCAAGCGATTGCCTGAGGTTAGGAGTTTGAGACTAGCCTGACCAACATGGTGAAACCTTGTCTCTACTAAAATATAAAAATTAGTTGGGAGTAGTGGTGGGTGCCTGTAATCTCAGCTACTTGGGAGGCTGAGGCGGGATAATCGCTTGAACCCAGGAGGCAGAGGTTGCAGTGAGCCGAGATCGCACCACTGCCCTCCACCCTGGGTGACAAGAGTGAAACTTTGTCTCAAAATAATAATTAAAAAAGTGTCTGTTCATGTCCTTTCCCCAATTTTTAATGGGGCTGTTTGTTTTTTGCTTTTGAATCATTTAAGTTTATTCTTTAAGCCACTATTAGTCATTGTTTTCATCACCTCATCTTCACCCCATTGATATGAGAGGGATATCCATCCTAGAGTTATGCAGCTGGCTGAACACTTGATACCCAACACTGAACAGATGATATAGACAACAGTCTATTAGTCACATAATCACAGTTCAGAGAGAAAGACACTACATTTCATGCAGGGCCCCACAGAGAGTGTACTCAAGAACAGCGTGAACAACCAGGCGTTCTTGGAGGAAGGCTTGTAGTATCAAGGATTTGAGGTAATTCCTGGTTCCCATAGAGTATGTGACTGGCTTGTTTGCATAACTATTTAAATGGCAGTAAACTGAAACCTGCTCTCTAGAGATAAATGAGAACTGCATTTGGTCTATTTGATAAGGAGGGCTGTTTGGCTAGGGGACTTTATCCACAGGAGCAGAGTATGGTAGACAACTCGTAGTTAGGCCATTTGAAATCCTCTCAACTTTCCCAGATGTAAAAGCAACATATAATATTAAACGGTAATTTTAGTCCTCATGCCATGGCCACATATTCTGTTACTTGCAAGTGAAAGTGCCCTAAGTAATAGACGTGCTGATGAAGTGGCTTAATTAGCTTTCATTGAACCTGGCTTTGAGAGATTTACCAAAAAGGATATGAAGATGTAATTTGATGGAGAAGACATTTAAAGTGATAGTAAATACCCATATATGTCTTTTTTGGCCACTCACCAAAAGTTCAGAAGATCATTTATTCAGTAATAAAAATAGATTATGTAGGCTTAGCTTAAATATTTAACAAAAAAGAACAATCTACCAACAAGAAAAACAGCCAATTATATTTTAGCAAAAATTACACTTGTACCACTTTTATACTTCTAGATGGTAATTGTAGACGGAAAAATGTGTTTTTAAATATTTTGCTTAGGTTTAACTAAATAACTTTGTAGTAAATTCATTTTTATTTTACTTTCACTTGCTTTATTTGACCAGGATTTAGGTATTATATTAAATAAAATTATATATTCTTGTTCTTATATCCTTTCTTCTAACACCCTATTATACAAATTCCTAGATAATTTAATTATGTAATAATTATTGTATCAGATGTTTTAGGTGTTTGGCTACAAGTTCCCCTACTACATTCTTTTAGGATTTCTCGTTTGTAATCTCCCCTCTCATTTTCTAGCTTCTAGTAAAAGGCCTAAAAATGGCTGCCATTGTATGTGAATCTATCTCTCCTTCTACAACAGCTTATGTGAATTTCTGACTTCCTGCATGTATCCAACCTAGAAACTCTATTTAAAATTTAAAGTTTTGCCTGTCAACTTGAATACTATGCTTCTGAGTGACTCTTCTTGATATTGATAGCACTTTCAGTTTTACTCCCTGTCTCCCTGCTCGGGTCCAACTGCCTGCCACTCAGACCAGTGACTTAGTCCTCTGCATTTCATGATCATTGCAGAGTTTAATTATTCAGTTCTGGCTGAGCATTCCTTTACTCTCATTTTCTTAACAGCTGGCCTGACGAGACTCTATCTATTTTTAGATCAACTGAATTCTGGTAGTTTCATCTTGATCTCGTGACTATTATTAGGTGAGGCAAGAAGGAGGAGAAAAAGAATACCATACAGCCAGATTATTCTTACTGCTTTTAGTGAGTGAATTCTTGAAAAAGTACTTTCATTGTTAATTTTGCCAAGGATATTTAATCTAATAATTGGAAGGACAAAACTAAGTAAAAAATTATTCATACAATATAAACAGTTTAGTGACTTCCAATGTTTGCCAAGGAGTATATTAAATTCCTGTTAATACTGCAGAACTCATTATTTTAAATGGGCATACAGATTTGGAATTTACATGAAAATAGAAAAAGGAAATTTGGTCATCATTAATGTGGCTTGGGCAACCCTAACTATAATTAGTTTAAATATATAATTAAAATACATTCTTTCTAATAAAACAAAAAGTATTTTAGCATCAAAGGCCAAATTTCAGCAGATATTGTAAAGTTTCAGAATGTTCAAATGAGGTATGCATATTCTGTTCTTTTAATGCATTTAAAATTTTGACTTCAAATCAAGCGTTTGAAGAGATTTTATATATATAAACCTACATATATATATATGTATGTCTCAAAATTATGAAAATAAATATCAAAGGTTGAACAATTTAAACTTTTTTCTCTAAAACATCATATACATTCAGATGTAAATTCAGGGTAACTTTTTTTTTTAGAAAAATGATATATTTTATTTGTTACCATGTCCAAAATATCATCATTTCAATATGAAATTAGTGTTTTTTTAATTAAATCTTTTTTTCTTTTTCAACATATATCTTAGATTCTTGGGTACACGTGCAGGCTTGTTACAAAGGTATATTGTGTGATGCTGGGGTTTGGAGTACAATTCAACCTGTCACCCAGGAAGTGATCATAGTACCCAATAGGTAGTTTTTCAGCCCTTGTCTCCCTCTTCCCTTCCCCTGTTGTATTCTCCAATGTCTATTGTTCCCATCTTTATGTCCATGTGTACCCAATGTTTACCTCCCACTTATAAGTGAGAGCATGTGGTATTTGGTTTTCAGCTTGTGCATTAGTTTACTTAGGATAATCACCTCCAGCTCTATTCAATGTTGCTGCAAATAACATAATTTCATTATTTTCTATGGTGCATATGTATCGCATTTTCTTTAATCCTCCACTGATGAGCACCTGAGTTGGTTTCATGTCTTTGCTATTGTGAATAGTGCTATGATGAGCATATGGATACCTGTATTTTCAGTACAGTAATTTATTTTCCTTTGAGTATATACCCAGTAATGAGATTACTGTGTCAAATGGTAGTTCAACCCTGTTCTTTGAAAAATATCCAAACTGCTCTCCATAGTGGCTGCACTAATTTATACTCCCACCAGCAGTGTATAAGCATTCCATTTTCTCTGCAACCTAGCC
Organism: Homo sapiens; assembly: GCF_000001405.40. Taxonomy (NCBI): domain Eukaryota; kingdom Metazoa; phylum Chordata; class Mammalia; order Primates; family Hominidae; genus Homo; species Homo sapiens. Next base: position 164,462,535 of record NC_000003.12, read on the forward strand.
AGCATCTATTATTGTTTGACTTTTTAACAAAGCCATTCTCACTGGTGTGAGATAGTATATCATTGTGATTTTGATTTGCATTTCTCTAATGATTATGATGCTGACCACTTTTTGGTATGTTTGTTGGCCACTTGGATGTCGTCATTTAAGAAGTGTCTGTTTGTATCTTTTGGCCACTTTTAAATGGGGTTGTTTTTTCATTGTTTATTTGTTTAGTTCCTTTTAGATTCTGGATAGTAGGCCTATGTCAGATGCATAGTTTGCAAATATTTTCTTCCATGCTGTAGGTTGTCTGTTTACTCTGTCAATAGTTTCTCTTGCTGTGTGGAAGTTCTTTACTTCAATTAGGTCCTACTCATGGATTTTTGTTGTTGTTGCAATTGCTTTTGAAGAGGGCCATAAATTATTTTCCAAGGCTGATGTGAGAAAGTTATTTTCAAGGTTTTCTTCTGGAATTTATATAGTTCGAGAATGTATACTTAAGTCTTTAATCTATCTTGAGTTAATTTTGCTATATGGTGACAGGGGCCTGAATGTCACCCTGAATGTCTGGTTAACATTTTTAATAAATGATGTTAATGCCTCACTAGCAAATACAAATAGACTAATAAATAT